>NC_000002.12:54129746-54432776 GCF_000001405.40 Homo sapiens | reverse complement strand
AGTAGAAATAAATGGGGCTTGCAGTTGGGAAACACTTTTGTAGCTCTCTAAGGCTTTTAGGTCTTTCTGTGTGATCAACTCTCCTCTTGTGGAGGATCAACCCTGTCTAGATATTTACAAAATTAACACTTCAAGTTAATTCCTAAACCCAACCCAGCCCTGAGAGCCTGCCAATGCGCAGGGCTGCAGAAGCTCTTCCACAGTGAGGAGTGGCAATCAGTGGCTCTCAGGAGATGGGCCAACATCCCTCCCCCATTCCTTGCTCTCTGCCACCACCATGTCTCTGCCCAGAGATGTAAGATTTGTTTTGCACCTTTCTGAGTGGATCTGAAAGCCTTTTACAGAAAAGAATGAGGGTTAACCCAGGACAGAACTCTTAGTTTGTATTCATCAGATTACACTTGGCTAAAGACACAGTCACAGTTGGAAGCAGGAACAGACTCTATCCTTCCTAAGAAGCCTGGTAGGGGTTTTGTAATCACAGGATGAGTCTGGAGTATGAGACAAATCTCAAATAAGCTCAGAAATGTGGCAGAGGTGTGCCTCGCTGTGACCTACATGCTACATATGCTGTTTCCTTTAGTCCAGTCAGCCGGGTGGTAGTAGTGTCCATAGATATCGGACAATAACAACAACAAGGAACATTTCCATAGCATTTACTATGTGCCAGACACTGTTCAAAGGCTCTTACATACATTAATTGATAACAATCCTTAGAGACAGGTATACTACTACCCTTACATTTGACGGATGAGAAAACTGAGGCACTAGGGAGATTAAGTAACTTACCCAAGGGCACACAACAATAATTACAACTTATTACACTTTAATTTCTCACAATAACTATTACTGTTAGTGTCCTTATTTTGCAGATGAGGAAACCGAGTATCAGAGGCCTAAAGTACTTAACTAAAGTCAAACTGTTGAAGTGATGGCATGGCCGGCCTCTACCATTTGGGGAGCTTGGGGCTACAAATAGCCTCTATTTGTACTCTTGCCCCAAGCTCCCCAAGTGTTAAAGCCTATTTGTACTCTTGCTCCAAGCTCCCCAAATATTCCATGAATAAATGGAATATTTGTTCATATTCCATGAATAAATGGAATATTTGTTCATATTCCATTTGAAAAAATATGCAAAACTAATATAACAGGCTAACAGTTAGACATGTTCCCTCCTCCTACTTTGACAAATAAACCTTCATAACAACCAGGAAGCCCAGATTCAAATTTAGAATGTTCAGACTCCTTGGTCTGAGCCAGAAAGAGGCGGTATACCATGGAGAATCAGACCGTAGCCCCTGGCCTGGTGCCCTTCTCTTCCCACCTTTGAAATTCAAATATAGATACTCCAGTGTGTGCCGTCCACCCATTCTTCATCCTGTCTGCAAACAGTTATCCCTAGGGCACCCTGAACTCTAGGGCATACACATCCTTGAGAGGACAGACCCTGGAAGAGGCTCTTACAGGCCCTGGAAACAGGCGCAGGGCCGCTTGTACAGGGAATTCTGGAGTCTCAGGACCTGGAACACGGTCTTGAGGGGTATATATGGGCTCTGGTGAACTCTTCACTTCACGAGGTGGAGTGAGCCTTGAGGAGGGCAAGGGCCCTTTAGAGGTCATAGCCCAGGGCAGAGGACCCTCTTGTCTGGGTCAGAGAGTGGTGCTGGTGATAGTGCCACAGCTTTACCCACCTCTGGCCAACTCCAATGTTCTTGCTATACAAAACCACTGTTCCTGTCACTCCCTTGCCTCTGATGCCCCCAGTTTTCATGTCACTGAGATTTGAAGTGGGTAGAGGGAACACCGTGGGAAGGAGGGAACCCTAAGGGGGTTCCCTTGGCGGGGAATGATTGGAGGGTGAGGAGGCGAAGGAGCCCAAGATATTTCCTCTCACTCATTCCCACACTTCCCTTTCCCACTGGGTCCTGCCTCTGGCCTTGGATACACAAACACTGCTCAGAACAAATCCAAGTCATGACCGCACCCTTTCCTTGTTTATGGACACAAAGTAGGGAGAGAATAGGAACAGCCTTGAAAATGGGGTTCTTTCAGAAATTGTTCATTCTCCCCTAACCTGGAAGATAGGACTTTTGAAGAGCGCCCTGACTAGCCAGCCCCTGCTACTGCTGTTACTTCCTAGCACCTGGCAAGGGCTATTTACATGGACTTAAGGGGGATCCTGTCAATCTGTCCAGGCTTCTAAATTTAGTTTCCATAGATAAATGCAATTTCCTGTGTAAGCTATCATAATTAAAACTTTCCACAGGCTTAATGTTGTATTGTTGACGTTCAAATGTCATCACTCACAGTGTCATGCTTCCTTTTTTAAAGAACCAAATTAACACCCCCACTAACCAACAGCTCCCAAACCCCCAGCGTTAGAGCTAAAACTCCAGCCAGCCCCTGGCCGTGGATGCCAGTTGCTGCAGTGCAAGGCCTCCCGTAGTCTAGCCCTCCCCTCCGCCAACATGACACCAAGAATTGAAGACAGTCCTCCTGCCTGAACACCAGAACATGTGTGTCTTAGGCCTGGGACCTCGGAAAACCACCCACACCAGCATAAACATAAAAAGGAGGCCAGAGTTGGCCAGACAACGTATCAGATGTCCCCAAAGGGACTGGAATCAGAAACAGGAAAGCTGTCAGGAACTGATCTCTCTTCCTGCCACCCTGCTATTACACCACGGTGGTTTCCTGTGCCTCTGCTTTCTCCCTGCTGACCACTTTTCTCTGCTTCACTCTTTCACCCCAAATGGCTGCCCAGATAGCCCCGCAGGTTCTCTTCTTAGGACCATGTGCGGCTCAATTCCAAACGGAGAGAATCTGATTGGCTTAGCTTGAGTCATGTGCCCTGTCTGGTCCAATCAGCTGTGGATCAAGAGGCTGGGTGGAGTCAGGGCCCTTACAAATAAGCCTGCACGGCCTGTTCTTGGGGTAGAGTGAGTGAGAAGTGTCCTCAGCGAGGTGGGAGTGAGCAAAGGCTCTGAAGGTGGGCCTAGTATACCCAGTTCAATACCCAGATTATACATATGTTTAAAAGTTATAGCGCTACTGTTTTACCTTTGCCCTAAGTTTTTGGTTGATAAGCACTCTGAGGTCAAGTTTCATATCTGTGCTTGTTCTGTGGCACATAGTGCACCCTTATTTACCAAGAATCATCATCGTGGCAATAGCTTTATCATCCTACCTCCTACCATTAAAACCTTTTTGGCTTTCTGTTATGGAGCCGTACTGAAAGCCCAAAATCAGAAGTAAGAATAAACATTGCTGAGAAGTAGTTATGATCACTACTTTGCATTTTGCCTGGCTGAAGCCTGTTTGGATCTTGCATGGAATATGGCTGTTGTCAGCCTATGTCACTTTTTAGGCCCAGAGACCAATCACAGCTTTCACTGCATTTACTTGACTTGGCTAATATGTAAAACAATAGCCGATTCTACCCTCTGAAATATCATAAACCTCTCAGTCCATAAATCTCAGACGAGGATATCTGAGGAATTTCTGGCAGATACACCAAGAAACATCGCCAATCTAGATGTTAGAGGAATTTGTTGATTCTCCAGCCAACCAAGAACATTAACGCTTCACCCGTGTTCCAGAGGAATGCAATTATTTTGTACAGTCAGACAGTCTTTAGGGAATGGGCAATATTGCTATTGCTTATTTTAAGAAATGTGCATTTGGTTTCTCTGATATTAATGTTCATGAAGAACAAAGCACTCATTGCAAACTAAATTTTGGGCATGGTATAGTCTGTGCTGCCAGATGAAGTTTCAATGTAAAAAAAACCACTTTTTCTTGCTAGAATGACTAAAGAAGAATTTTGTGTACCAAAATCAAGACTGTAAACTAAAGTCCATTAATCCGTTTATTCATTCATCTGTTGTTCATTGTGCATTTGCTGTGTCCTAGGCACTGCACTAGATGCTGCATATACAGAGACAAAGGACACAGTTCTTGCCCTCATCAAACTCACAGTCCAGCAGCAAAGATAGATTCATAAACCAAAAATGATAGTGCAATGTACTAAGGGTAATAAGTACACATAAAATGTTAAGGGAGGACATAGGAGGGACTTGTAACTCAGCCCGGGTTGGGTGGGGTGAGGAAAAACTTCCTGATGGAGAATAAAGCCTGAGTTGACTTTTAAAGCTGAAAATAGAGTTAACCAACAAATGAAGTGGAAAGCATGAAAGAGCACGATGGACTGTGGATATGGGTGATTAATTGTTTTGGCTGGAGGTTAGGCCAGGAGTAGTAGGGATGGGACTGGAAATGTCGGCCTGGGGCCAGGTCATAAAGCCTCAGGCCTTGCTGAAGTTTTGGGACTTTATTCTAGGATGATATGGAGTTTTCAGAAAAATTTTTAAAGAAAACTTTTTATTGAAGTGTAAAATATATGCAGAAACATGCACATATAAGTATTCAGCTTGATAAATTTTCATGAGCTGAACATAGCTGTGTAGCCAGAAGCCAGATCATAACACACCCAGCATCCTGGAAGCCCCCTGTTGTTTCCTTCCAGCCACCACTTCCCTCTCCAAGGCTGACCACTGGCCTGATTTCTAACACCATGGATTTGTTTTGCCTGTTATTGAATATTATTTAAGTGAAAGTTTAAAGTGTGTACTCTTTTGTGTCTGGCTTCTGTCAGTCAGCATGATGTTTGTGAGCTTTAACCATAGTGTGTTCAGTCTCATGGTTGTATGATATCCTGTTGTATGGATATCTGTAAGTTATTTATTCCTCCCATTATGTATCAACATTTGAATTCTCTCCTATTTAAGGCTATTATGAATCGTGCTGTGGTGAATATTCTTGTGTATGTCTTTTGGTGTGTATACGTTTGCATTTCCTTTGGATAAAATATCTACGAGTAGAATCTCAAAGGCTAGGCATATATTCAGCCTTATTGGATTCAGCTCAACAGTTTTTACAAAGTGATTGGACTAAAGTCCCAACATCAGTGTATGAGAATTCCAGTTGTTCCAGTTTCCAACATATGATGTTTGTTTTTAAATTCATTTTAGCCATTCTAGTGTTTGTGTAGTAGTTACGGACTGAATTGTGTGTATTCCCACCCCATGCCCCAATCATGAAGACCTAATCCCAAAAGTGACTGTATTTGGAGAGAGGGCCTTTAAGGGTGGAGCTCTTATCCATTAGGACTGGTGTTCTTGTAAGAAGAGGAAGAGACACCAGAGATCACTCTTTTTTTGCACACATACAGAGGAAGGGCCACATGAGGACAGAGTAATAAGATAGCTGTCTGTAAGCCAAAAGAGAGGCCTCAACAGAAACCAATATAAAGAAAATAAAAAGTGATTTTCATACATAACTGTAAACACAATGCAGAATCTACCTTTCCCTTGACATTATTCAGTGCAGGATATGTGCTAGGTACTTGGTAAACATTAGCTGCCACCATCACCATCACCACCACCACCATCACCACCACATTATCATTGTGGAGATATCTAGGATTACTTCTCTGGCAGATTGCAAAAAGGATCACATTTCTCCACCCCTCTCTCTGTCCACACTCCTTAAAATGTGACTTTGCATCTACTTCCATTAAGAGGTGGTGTATATTTCTCCATCCCTTGAACCTGGGCTGGCTTTGTGACTTCTGGCCAAGAGGATGCAGTGGAAATGATATGGTGTTTTAATTAGGATCCTCTGCCCCAAGAGGCCTTGAATGGTTTCCACTTTCTCTCTTGGAACTCTGTCCATCTGCCATGTGAATAAACCTAGGCTAGCCTGTTGGAGGATAAGAGACCATATGGACCAAGTCATCCCAGTTGTCCCAGCAGAGGTTCCAGATATGTGAGAAAGCCCAGTCAAGATCAGCTGAATCTGGCTCCAGTCAGCAGAAATGCCCCATTGACCCATAGGCTTGTGAGCAATAATAAATGTCTGTTGTATTAAGCTACTGATTAGGGGAGGTTTGTCAGGCAGCAATAGGTACTTGCTTCAACTTTCAAACAGAGACATAAACTGAGATAGAGGATATAGGAGGGAGAATGCATCTGGAGGTAGGAGTTTAATAAACTTCAGACATATGGAGTTTAAGATAGCTAAGAGCATTCTGTGGAGGTGTTGAGAAGAGCAGTCTGATCTAGAGGCAAAGATTTAAGAAAACTCAGCATTAGTTAGAAACAGAAGCCCCAGGAACGACTGACCTTTTCCAGGAAGACAGAAGAGAGGGCTGAGAAGAGAACTCTGGGGAAAATCAACACTTAAAGTATGAGCAGAGGAAGAAGATGATGAGAAGGAACAACCAGAGATGTCAGAGGAAAACCAGAAGACAGTGTATAATGGGAGAAAGACATGAGCATTTAAAACCACGTCATGAGGGTGGGAAAGAAGGTAGGAAAAATGGTCAATGCATCCTCCCCTATCTAGAGGACTCTATGCACTGGACACAGGAGGGGAGTGTGGGATAAGCCTAGAAAGGAAGGTGATAGGCAGACCATGAAGGACCTAATAGGCCACCCCAAGGAGTCTGGGTTTTATCCTGAAGGACTTTAACAAAGGAGTAACTTGAACAGGTTTTTGTTGGAAGATTCCTCTGCAGCAATGCAGTTGATGGACTGATTGGAGGGAGCAAGATGGAAGTCAGGGAGACTAGTTGGGAAGCTCTCAGAGAAATCCAAGTGAGAAAAGACAAGGGCTTGAACTGAGAGGATGACTGTAAGTATGAGAGCATCTTTTCTCTTCATGCCTACATTCTGATGGATTCAAGAAAAAGTTAGGAGATAGAACTGGCAGGCCTTTGTGACTGATTGTATGTGGTACATCAGAGAAGACAAAATGACTCTTAGTTTTGGGGTTTAGGCATCTGGGTAGATGACCTAATATAGATGGAAATAAATGTAATGCAAGGGAATACTCTGGCCCTCTAGCCTGTGACTATAACATATTCTTCCTTGGTATACCTAAATTATTATACTATAGAGCCTGCACTACTAGAAATCAGCTACTGTCACTGTCCCATCAGTTATTTCTGAGAGTGTCTTAGAATGCCTCTCATTTGAGCTGCAGACAAGTTCCACTGGGTTATTCTTCTCTAGCCTTCTCATCTTGCTGCTGCTGGTGCTGCTGTTGCTGCTGCTGATATTGAAACCCTTCTGAGATTCTTACCCTGCAGGATCAGCTGGTTGAGGGTAACCACCACCTGTGGATCACCACTCCAGTCTTGGAAATAGGATGTGCCCTCTAAAAACTGACCAGGTCCACAAGTGCTGTCTCAGTTTGGCATCTCTAGAAATTGGCCCCTTTTTTTGCCTTGACTTTTTAGCCTCCATGTTGCTGCTCGATTAGATACCTGCTATTACTGTTCACTGCGTTCATGGGACAGCAGTAGCTACTCTGCCAGTAGAATGACTCTAGCCTTCTCCATGTCACTCAGACTCAGCTGGTCTTAGGCCCTAGATCTTTCTCTCCTCCAGTTCAAATCGCTTCTCACCTCCCATTCCTTGTCCCAGAGAAACCACTTCACAGGATGATTGACAGCAGAAACATCTATTTCTCTGCAGAAAAAAACTCCATTCCTATTTACCAGCAGGTAGTCTTGTTCCATCGCTCAAAAGATGCAATCACAAAATAGTCTAAAATAGCTCAAACGAAGTCAAAATTTTCCAAAAGCTGGGTCACTCACTCTTGTCCACAGTTACCTTGGTAAACAGGGAATGCAGGGAAAAGTTTACAGGAAGATCGTGTGTCCATTTTACCCTTGATGATGTTGTGGAAGTGTGACATTCAAGTGGATATGAGTCTGCAGTGAGGGAGAGAGAGAGAGAAAGGTCGGTGGATCAGCATGTGGGTGGTCTTGGAAGTCAGGGATGCAGTGGTGTGCTAGAGCTAGTTCATTCAGCTGTTAAGCGTCAGTTATATGCCTCTCTTCCCAACTCCATAATGTCTGGGAGCCTGATATTGGCCATAGTGAGAGTATTTACACCACAGAAATCAGCAAACACTGCAAGTCAGGGCTTTTCTTCACCCTGGAAGCGCTGCTTGTTAAACATTTGCCAGCACACCATTGTAGGTGAGGGTGAAATCATCCGAGGAGGGCAGATACAGCAAGAGAGGAAAACATCTGAGAGGGAACGCCAAGGAACAAATATTTAGGGAATGGACAGAGAAAGAGGAGTTGTAAATAGAACAAGAAAAACTATCCAGGAGGCAGTGAAAAGTTGTGCTGTAGACACTAAGGGAGGAGAGTTTGTAGAGTAACCCTGTGGGATATGTGTCTCAAGACACTCATAAATAAGGCCAGATTAGGTGACAGAGATCAATTGATCAGTTGTTGAAATGTTCAATTGATCAAAGGGTGGTTATTCTTATTTTTTAAAAGCTATTTTAACTATTTTTAATTTTAAGCAATCAAAAGGACTGCTTCATAGTCAAGCCAGTAAGTAGTTAAGGTTGCTGAAAATAGCTAGCCAGGGTTTTTTTTTTTTTTTTTTTTTTTAAAAAAAACCTGGTTATATTGGTCATTTCAACAACTGAATGATATAACCAGTCTATTGTTGGGCAATTGACCTATTCAAACTTTCTGTCCAGCCACCCAGACTTAGTTATACACATCAAATCATACTTTTTTGGATCTATAGAAGACTATAAAGATCATATATATTCTAATTATCCAGCTAAGAAAATTAAAGTTCAGAGAAGTTAAGTGACATGGCATGATCACAGTCAACACGCGGCTGCCTCCTGGAATAGGCATGACTGAATCCAGGTCTCCCAACTCCTCTCTCCTGCTATCCTTACCTCTTGGCAGAGGCTCTCCTTATAAATGCAAGACTAATATGAGTTCAGCTGAGTCTTGAGGCAAAAATGTCTGGAGTCTTTGCAATCTCTTTATGAAAATTCAGACAAATCAGGGTCATTAGGTCTATTTTCTTCAGCTAGGTGATATATCCCCAATAACACACAAGATTTAAGCCCATGATCGGCTCTGACTTCCCCAACCAAGGGAAACTGGAGGGTCTGGGAGCCATTTTATTTTCAAGGTGTTTCCAGGAAGAACATGTTGAGCAGACATTCTCTGGTAAGGGAAGTTTCATACTGACTTCCTTCGCTTGTCCTGAGAACCAGGAAAAGATTTGACTGCTTATTGCATCAAAAGATTAGGTTTTGAATCTGATTTTAACTCACAGACATTGTACAGTATTTATGTAAAAAATTATAACATCTATTAGAAGTACAAAGAACAACTTTGGTTGTATGAGGAATTTAAATCTATCCACTAGTATTATTTTCCACTGAAGCTCTTCAGAGGACTTGTGGTTCACAGTACCAGCTTCCTGAACAGCCTTGTTTCCTGACTGCTGTTCAGAAGCTCGGGAGACTCCCCCATGGCTTAGAAAGTGTGTGGGAGAAAACTCCACTCCCTTCCCTCCTCAGAAGGGGGCGGAGGGAGAACAGCTGCTAATTGAGTTTTCTTACTTTTTGACTTGAGGTGGGTGTGGATGCCCTCTGCAGAGCTGGAGTTCCAAATTGGGACCAGTATGATTCCTCTTATTACTCTTGTTTATCTAGTGAGCCAGACACTGAAGACCCTGTTTACTGCCATCCAGGAACCAATAAGTCAATGGAAAGACCAAACACTTAGTCCTCATTGTTATTTGCTTATATGTATGACTGCAGTCACCCCGTGCTACCCAGGCCCTGAATTATTAATCTCTTAAAATGGCATCTAATGGGCTGTGACACAGGTCCCAGCCACCTCTACTTCTTTTAGATGCTGTCTGGTGAATGCCCCTATGGCCCAGAATCTTCATCAACTTCTCCCTTTAAAACTTTGTTTACCATCACTGTTGCTTGCATTTTGCATATTCTCTGGGAGCAGATTTTCCTCTTTGCAAATGAAGTCAGTCATCTAAGGAAATTATTCACATTTCCATTTTCAATATATATTCTCCTTTCATGTGGGTGTTATTCCTGAATACATTGGTTCAGCAGTAAATTTGAATAATGGTTGATATCATCTGCCTCCTTTGGTTTTGTTTCTTAGTTTCCCCAGTAGATTAAACATTTTTTTTTCAATTGTCTCTGTCATTTGTATCTTTTTGAGAGGTGAAGCCAGCTGGGCTTCTGGGTCTGTTGGGGACTTGAAGAACTTCTGCGTCTAGCTAAAGGATTGTAAATGCACCAATCAGCACTCTGTAAAAATGCACCAATCAGTGCTCTGTGTCTAGCTAAAGGATTGTAAATGCACCAATCAGCACTCTGTAAAAATGCACCAATCAGCACTCTGTAAAATGGACCAATCAGCACTCTGTAAAATGGACCAATCAGCCCTCTGTAAAATGCAGCAATCAGCAGGATGTGGGCGTGGCCAAATAAGGCAATAAAAGCTGGCCACCCTAGCCAGCAGCAGCAACCTCCTGTTCTTTTCTTCTTCACAGTAAATCTTGCTGCTACTCACTCTTTGGGTCTACGCTACTTTTATGAGCTGTAACACTCACCGCGAGGGTCTGCGGCTTCTTTACTGAAGTCAGTGAGACCACGAACCCACTGGAAGGAACAAGCAACTCCAGACTCGCCACCTTTAAGAACTGTAACACTCACTGGGAAGGTCTGAGGCTTCACTCCTGAAGTCACCCACACAGCGAACCCACAGGAAGGAAGAATCTCTGGACACATCTGAAGCAACAAACTCCGGACGCACCATCTTTAAGAGCTGTAACACTCACCACAAGACTCTGCGGCTTCATTCTTGAAGTCAGCGAGACCAAGAACCCACCAGAAGGAATAAATTCCGGCTACATTTTTATCTTACACTTTTAAAAATACGTATTTTTAAAGCAATTTACAGTAAAACGAAAGGAAATTCTACATTGTGTTCTATGTAACGTAACCATGATACTAGATGTCTTGGCCATTAGTTTCAGTTGGTACTACTGGTCTTTTAAACATTTTAAAACTCTGTTGATGTGTCAGTTTCTTCCTTAAGGCATCATACACATACACTTTACACACACACACACAAAAAAACATTTATTCACTTAAAACACCTTTTTATTTGTAGGCCTGGCCTTATACTTGGTTGAGATAGGGAGAAAATTCTAAGTAACATCTCAATGCCAGGTTTCTGAGGTCATCTAAACGTTACAATACCCTAGTAGTGAATATTTATCAGAGAGCTTTAATTGTCCATAGACATATTGAGAAGCAAAGACTTAGGAAAGTTGCCAGTGATTGCTCCTCGACTAGAGTCAGTCACTTAAGTCAGTGGTTCCTGACAGTGTTAGGACAATGTTTCCAAAGGACTGTGCTGCAATGAGAGAAATAAGTCAATATAGGGAGTTTTCCTAAAGCACAGTTTATTCAATTTTTTTGAAAAACGAAGTTTATATCTTTTCTACTTTTTGGAAGTTAAATGTCCTTTATTTTATGACATGATGGTGATGTGACAGTAGATGATAAAATTTCTCCATAATATCCTTCCTTGGCAAAATAAAAATAAAATGATTCCTCCTCATCAGTCTCCCAAAGTTTTTCTGGACATTTAGGGATTATTGTTTGCATTCCTCTCTTTGTTTACAACACCCTTCCCCTGCACCAACATCTCTTGCTCTCTTTGGCATCCCAATGGCATTTACTATTCTCCAAATCAATTTAAAAATTCAAGGTCATGCTGGAATTAGTATGTTCATCCTTCCCAGTTACCATGCATGCTTTCTGTGATAATTACCCTCAGGTTTTGTAGGAAAACAGACCCCCAGAGATGCATTCACATATGCAAATATGCACTCAGTAAAAATCTGCTGAGTGCCTGTGTGTTGGAGAAACAGCAATGACTAAGACAGATGAGTCCCAGTTCCCTCGAGGCTCATTTTCTATGCATTGGGGGGTAGAGCTGTGGGGGAAGGGCAGGGAGATTAACAATAAATAAGTAAACACCTAATCCACAGAATTCCATATTGTGATAAATATGAGGTTATGGAGAAATTTCCAGTTTATGTGCATAATTACCAGAATAACTGGTGGTGGCCGTGGGAAAGGAATGGGCCACTTCAGATGGGGGCCAGGGACAGCTAAGGAGGAAGTGATGTTTGAACTGAGATCTGAATGACCAAGGGGAGCTGTCCATGAAATGACTGGTGGAAGAGTGTTCCAGGCCCAGAGACTGTGCAAAGGCCCTAAGGTAGAACTTGGCCTTTGCAGGGATAAGAGTGTGGAGGGAGGGAACAAAATCACAAATTCTGTTTTGAACATATTAAGTTGATCTTTGACATTCAAGAGAAGATTTTACATATGCAACTGGATATATTAGTTCTGAGTTCAGGCAAGAGGTTGAGGCTGCAGATAAAATTTAGGAAACATCAGCATATGGATGACATTTAAACCAGATAGTAGGGAAAAAGACAGGGCCAAGAAATGTCTGAATCAGACACTCAGACATTGAGGAATCGTGGACGAGCAATCAGCAGAGGAGCAGCTGGAGACGCCGGAGGAAACCCGGGGAATTTAGAGATGAAAGTATTTAAAAAATGAGGGGCCAAGGCACAATGTGGGTGGAACTTTTTCAATACAAAAAACCTTTCATTTATGTTATGATTTTCATAAGCCTGCAGTGATTATAAGTGTAAAGGTGGCTCCTGTCACATGATTCGGGCACTGCTTACTTTAAACTAACCCCGGTTCCATCCTCCATGTGCGTGGTGGGCTCAGAGCTCTCCTGGCTGCTTCTGCCGTCTTCTACAACAGCTTGGGCCACTGGGCTCTGAGCATATGTCCCATCCAGAGCATAACAGTGAGTTCAGTCCCTGGACACAGGGCTCCCTCTTAATTACTCTTTCAATTCTGAAACCTTACTTTCCTCTCATGCCAAGAAAAGAGAATATCAAGTTTTTAGAGACCCTGGTCTGCTTAAATTCTAAGGTAGATGTAACTCAGTTTCCATCTACCTAATCAATGTATTAATGGATTTAATTGATTTTACATAGAATAGTTTTGATTTCCTATTAACCAGGTTAGTGAACTACCAGATTCCCTACCTCACCCGTTTTTTAGATCATTGCTGTTTTTAAAGAGGGCCCCCTTTTCCTCTAAGGGTTTGAAAAATGCATTTAGAGAAGCAGAACATTTGGAAATCAGCTTCAAATGATGTTTCTCACATTCCTCTTTGAATGATGGCTGTGAAGACAGCCTGGAAACTGTTCAAGCCTGCCAGAAGAGTACTGCCTTATATCCTTCCGGATTACATTCTTTATTGTTGTTATTGTATTTTTGGATATTGTTTGGTCAGAGGCATAAAATAGAACAAAGATATCGGACTAGAATTTGAAATAACTGAATTCTGCTTCTAGCTGTCGACAAGTCAAAAATCTCTTTGTGTTTCAGTCCCTCTACTAAATGGGGCAGGCCTACCCATATTAGCTGTCTAATGTTAAGTGTAATTTTCTTTTCTTTATTTTTTTTCTTTATTTCTTTAAAAAAAAAAAAGGGATACACGTGCAGAACGTGCAGGTTTGTTACATAGGTATACGTGTGCCATGGTGGTTTGCTGCACCTATGGACCTCTAAGTTCCCTCCCCTCACCCCCCACCCAACAGGCCCTGGTGTGTGTTATTCCCCTCCCTGTGTCCATATGTTCTCAATGTTCAACTCCCACTTATGAGTGAGAACATATAGTGTTTGGTTTCCTGTTCCTGTGTTAGTTTGCTGAGGATGATGGCTTCCAGCTTCATCCACGTCCCTGCAAAGGACATGATCTCATTCCTTCTTATGCGTGCATAGTATTCCATGGTGTATATGTACCACATTTTCTTCATCCAGTCTATCACTGATGGGCATTTAGGTTGGTTCCATGTTATTAAGTGTAATTTTCAAAAGGGTAAAATCATCTCTCTCAGGAAAATAGAATATGAATACCTGTCAAAGAATGTATTTATTGAGGTGAACGTTAAGATGTTAAAACTGATTCAAAAAGCATTTGAGATTATGTGTGTGTAAAATTTAATTTAAAAATATTATAAGATTGATGAGTTAAAACTGGTTGGTGTCCAACAGGACAGTAAACTAATCTTTGTGCTTATTGGCTCTATTGCACAGAAACTATTTGCATCTTTACCAGACAAAAATTTTTAAGTTAACCTCTGCACCTATGGAGTGTAAAGTCAGTAGAAAATTAAGCTCAATACTGCACTGAAAGAAGACCCAATAATCAGTAATATTTTCTGCCTATTTTCAAATGTCAGATAATTTTTCTGACATATATGTGTTTTTTATATATATATAAATAATAGTGGTTAACATTTCTTGAACACGACTATGTGCTGGGCAACACTTAACATGTTCTATCTCTTTGGATACTCATTACAACCCTATGGGGTAGGCATTTTTATTATCCCCATCTTACAGGAGAGAAGACTGAGGCTCTTCTTAACCAGCCTAAGGTCGCAGAGCTAAGCGGCAAGAGTGGTGATTAAACTGAGGTCTGACTCTAAAATCTTTGTTTCAGTTCCTAAGTTATTAATACTATTATTATTATTATTATTATTATTATTAGAGGTCAAAAGGAATCAAGAATGTGAAAGTGCTTTAAAGACTGCAAATATACTATAAGTTGCAAGGCGCTCTTGTTAAATCTAGATCACTACTAAAGAGTAAGGCAGTGAGAGTTACTGCTGCATCATTGTGGAGGGAGCAGTGTTCATTATGGAAAAGGTCGGCTGTCCTGGAAATGCCTATGAGACTATCTCGACTCTGTTCCCTTGAGCTGAATTGGTTTTACTTAACTCAGACTACTTTTCTCTCTTTTTTTTTTTGGAGGGTGGATTTCATTAAGAGAGTCTCTTGGCCTATTTTTGATTAAATGCATGGAGAGGTATCCACTATGAAACCCTTCCTCGCTTTTCTTTGTGTTTTCTTTTCTCAGCTTAGTAGAGTGAAAAGAACACAGGTCTCCGGGCTAGACAGGCCTGAGGCTGAATTTCAGCATCATGATTGACTAATGTTAATACTTGGAGCAAATCACTTAGCCCAGCTTATCTTAAAACCTGCCCAACTGCACCAAAATCACTTGAGGGAGAACATAATGTTCATTCAGAAGCAGGGAAGGGGAATCATTTCCTTGTTGGTAAAAGAACAATATTATTATCTACCTTCAAAGTATTTTGAGAATTGACATCTAGTAGGACATCAGAAATGTTAGTTCTAGCCTGGGCAACATAACAAGATCTCTATCAAAAATTTAAAGAAATAAAAAATTAGCCAGGCATGGTGGCACATACCTGTTGTCCCAGCTACTCTGGAGGATGAGGCAGGAGGATTGCTCGGGCCTGGGAGGCTGTGAGCTGTGATCATGCCACTGCAGTTCAGCCTGGGTGACAGAGAAAGACCCTGTCTCAAAAGAAAAAAAAAAGAAGAAAAAAGAGAAATGTTAGTTCTGTTCTTCCCATCTTCTTTCTTTGTTATTTATTTATTTATTTATAATTTTTTCTCCAGTCTGTAGAACCTGTGAACTTCCCATCTTCTTTCTAAAGAAGTCTTACTAATTTGCCATTCGTCTCTCCTCCTGGCCCCTCCTACTTCTGTTTCCTTTCCTCTATTCCCCTCCTTTCCCATCTCCTTCCCATCTTTTTTTCTCCTCTTATCCCCTCCATTTCCCTCCCCTCCCTCCTTGGATCCCCACTTCTCTTCCTGTGCCCCCAACTCTTCTCCCCTTCCTTCCCTTCTGTGCTTTCTCATCTCCTCTTGTCCCTTTCCCTTTCCCTCCCTTTTCTTTCTCTTCCCTCAAGGATCCTGAGACCAGAATCTCCTAAATAGTGAGACCTTATTTTCACCTTACTAATGTAGAGAAACTATGGACTGAAATCTGGAAGGACCTGCTGTGACCTCTTTCTATTCCAACTCTCACTTCATCCATGAGAGGACTGAGAACCAAGGAGGTTAAACCCAAACCCAGATACCCTGACTTCTGGTCAGTGCTCCTCCTAATACATCACCAAGTCCCCTCTGTGTCTATTCTATCAACGCGACGTGATGGCTCCTCCCCATCTTCACTTAGCAGTTTATCAGGAGGCTGGGAAATACAGAGAGATGAATCATTGCTGTAGTTTGTTCCTGAAGAGTGAGGTAAGGTCTTGTAACTTCTGAGGCTACCAGAGAGAATGCACCACGGCACATAAAACAAAAAGGTCAAATGTCACCATCAAATGTGCAGTGTCCTCCCTAGCTGGTCAGGAAAAGGAGGCCTATACAAATGGCAAGGAAAATAATCTGTGGTCATTTCCACAGAGAACCACAGCTTTTACACTTCCGCTTAATGTCCCTGGAAAAAGAACAAAACAGCGTCCTGCAGGAGATAAGTCTGGTGAGGAAAACAGATAATAAGCTTGGTGAAAGCAGCCAGAGACCCAGCCACCACACAATGCCTCCTCCAAGTTCCTTAGTGGAAAAATTAAAGGCAGCACCAGACTTCCTTTGCGTGCATTAGCAGAGGAAGAGGTGCTTCCTGGTCCTGCCCCACTCTCTCCTCACACCGGTTCCACCGGTCCTGTGGTCTTGGCTCTAAATGTCAGGGAGGGAAGCTGGAAGTGGGTGCTAAGGTGGTACTCACCTCAGGAAGGGAGGGACTAAATTAGAAGGGTTGGGTCTCACAGAGTGAGCTACGTGTTCTGTAAGGCAGATTCCTTAGTTTTGCATGACAGTGTTGAATTCCCATTTGTATGTCTGAACTTTTAATAGAGTGGTGTTTACTGGCCTTCCGTCTGTTGCACTCTGGGGAGGGCTAGTGTCCCTATGCGGGGCCAGGGCATTAGAGAGGGCATGGCCCCTGCTTACTCAGGCTCAGGAGGACAGCAGGGATTAGGGCAGAGAAGGGGAAGAAGAGGCAGTTCTCTAGAGACAAGAGGTAGGTTGGTAGTTGTCAAGGGCTGGAAGGAATGGGGAATGACTGGTAATGGATTTCTTTTTGGGTTGATGAAAATATTCTGGAATTAGATGGAGGTGATAGTTTCACAACTTCATGAATATATTAAAACCACTGACTTGTGTGCTTTCAATGTGTGAATTTTATGGTGTGTTAATTACATTTAAATAAAAGAAATGTGATGATAACAAAGAAGGAATGGTGAATTTTGGAGCAATGCTAAGTGCTGTCAGGACCAGCTGCTCTCCCCCAGGTATCCTGCCTGCATTTCATAAACATTTTTAAGTGTCATATATTTTCATAATTTTCATTCTTGTAGTGGAATTATGGTCCACTGTGTACCACAATTCACAAAGAGATATCTCCAAGTTGGTCATTTAGGAATGTTTCTTTTTTTGCTGTTATAGGTGTCAAACAAGGGCAATAGAGCTCTGTTTTCACTCTGCCGCAAATCTTGGTTTTTCACAAACCTTCTCTGGAATTTATATTCCCACACTACTGTGAATATATAGTTAAATTGTTTGCTATTTTAATTCTTGGTGCCTTTTTCCCCATAGTTTTACATGGTCTCCTTCATAATCTTTTCTCAACTCTGCCAGCTCTCTGCTTACCTACCTCACCCACCTCATCATGAAAATCAAGCTCTTCTGACCTCATCTATGTTTCCACTGCTGGACTTACAGCACTGTTTTGTAATGTATTTACCCACCTGGCTCCTTTGCCAGACTGTGAGCCCCCTGAGGTCACACACAGTGTCTTATTAATTTCTGACTCCCTGTTGCCTTTGCTTGGCAGAAGGAAGGTGTAAAATATATGTTAATTGGATTTAATTGAATTGCTGAGGCTCTGAAGAACAGTGTGGAGTCTGTCCCTTTGCTTCGGTTGAATTACTATCCTTAGTGCCAATTACAAGAACTGGAATTGCTGGGCCAAAGGGCATGGATGTTTCTCCATGCTTGCCATATTGCTTTCTCAAAAGTGGTACTAATTTGTAGTGCCACCTGAAATGGATGAGTGCGCCAATAGCGCTGTCACCTTGCCAACCCATCATTTTTCAAAATGCTAGTTTAGTAGGTATCAAATGATATTTCAAGGTTGCTTTAATTTGCATTTCTTTGATTACTCCTAGGGCTGAACATTTTCTCAGGTGTTTATTTACTGTTTCTGTTTCTCCTTGGGGGAATTGCTTGTTCATAGTCTTTGCCCATTTATCAAAATGATGAAATACAGCTAATACATTTGAATAAGCTCCTTGTATATTTTATTTATGATCCTATAGTCTATCGTATTTGATATATATTTTTCATATTTTATATTTTGTTTTCTTCTGTTTTTGCTTTTTTACATTGTACAGAAGTTTAAAATGTATACATGTGTGTACCTATCTCTTTCTTTACAATTCCTTATAAAATTTCAAGAAAAAGTTCTTCCTCACAGATGTGCTAAATATTTTATTCAATGTTCTGTTCTTTTTTTCAACATAAAAAGTTAACTTAATCCACCTAGAGTATATTAAGTACTTAGTTACTTTTAAAATTGCTATCACAAATTCCAAAACCTCTTATCAAATAAAACTTGTATCAGTTATATTATTTGATAGCAAGTAACAAAATCCAACTAACAGTGGCTTAAACAAAAAGGGGCTTTTTCTTCTCACTTTATAGGAAGTCGCAGTTGGTAGGGTTGGCAGCATTTTGGTGTCTCTGTGATGTGGGTCCTGGAGACTGGAATGCTCTGGGCCCTTCTCTCATGCTACCTCCTCATGATTCCAAGATGGCTGCTGAGCCTCTATATTCAAAGCAGGAAGGAAGGGCAGTAAGAGCCACGTCAGTTCTTTTAATCAGGAAAACAAACATTTTCTTCCAAACCTACCAGCAGACTTTCTCTTATGTCTTTATTTTTATTTATTTATTTATTTTTTGAGACAGAGTCTTACTCTGTCGCCCAGGCTAGAGTGCAGTGGCGAGATCTCAGCTCACCATAACCTCCGACTCCCAGGTTGAACTAATTCTCCTGCCTCAGTCTCCCGATTAGTTGGGATTACAGGCACGTACCACCACACCCAGATAATTTTTTTTTTGTATTTTTAGTGGAGACGGGGTTTCACCATGTTGGCCGGGCTGGTCTCGAACTCCTGACCTCAGGTGATCCACCTGTCTTGGCCTCCCAAAGTGCTGGGATTACAGGCATGAGCCACCGTGCCCAGGCCTCTTATGTCTTATTAGTCAGAACTGTGTCATAAGGTCACACCTAGCGCAATGGTGGCTGGGAAAGTATTTCATATTTCTCTTTCTATAGAAAAAACAGCAGGAGAGAAGGCGTTTGGGAAAGGCCATTTAGTCAGACAACTAGGCGTGTCTGTACACACTTTCCTTCCCTCCTGCTGTTTTCAAAAGCTATTTTTGATAGATATATTTTAAGTGTGTACATATATTTAATTATTTATAGTTAAACTTTATTTCACAAAAATGCTACTGTAAATTATTAGGCCTTTTTAGTCTCTTCATTTGGTTCCATTAATCTATGATCTAGTTAGTGCATTATTTTAATTCTTATTTTATTATATAGCAAGTTTTAATGGCTGATATTGGTAGAAACTTTTCTGTGTCTTTTTTATACTCCCTGTTGATGGTATTCTTATTATTTTCATACATACATTTTAGGATAATTTTGTGAAATTAAAAATACTTATTAGGTTTTAGGCTGGGCACAGTGGCTCACGCCTGTAATCCCAGCACTTTGGGAGGCCAAGGCTGGCAGATCACTTGAGGTCAGGAGTTCAAGACCAGCTTGGCCAACATGGCAAAACCCCATCTCTACTAAAAATACAAAAATTAGCTGGGCCTGGTGGCACATGCCTGTAATCCCAGCTACTGGCTGAGGCAGGAGAATTGCTTGAACCCAGGAGGTGGAGGTTGCAGTGAGCCTAGATCATGCCATTGCACTCCAGCTTGGGAGATAAGAGCAAAACTCCATTAAAAAAAAATACTTACTAGGCTTTAGATCAGAATAGTATTAAATCTATAAATTCAATTTAATTCAAATTTAATTCTATTGGTCATATAGACATTTTAGTGTTATTAAGTCTTTTTATCTTGGAATTGGCTCTATTTCTCCACTTACTTGAATCATCTTTTAAATGTTCTAACAAAGTTTTGAAGGTTTTCTTTTTAAAAGTCACATCACATAGTTCCTAGCCATTTTAAGTTTGGAAATCTGGCCAGGCATGGTGGCTCACACCCGGAATCCCAGCACTTTGAGAGGTCTAGGTGGGCGGATCGCCCGAGGTGAGGAGTTCGAGACTAGTCTGGCCAACATGGTGAAACCTGTTTCTACTAAAAATACAAAAATTAACTGGGCACGTGGCATGTGCCTGTAATCCCAGCTACTCGGGAGGCTGAGGCAGGAGAATCACTCAAACCTGGGAGGCAGAGGTTGCAGTGAGCCGAGATCACACAACTGCACTCCAGCCTGGAGTGACAGAGTGAGACTCCATCTCAAATAATAATAATAATTAAAAATTAAGTTTGGAAATTTGTGATATGGTGTGTGTGACTATAAATCAGATATCTTTTCTTGTTGTATTATCTAGCTGGTAATTAAGGGTATGTAGGACTTGTCCTGTATTTTATGATTTTCTTGAAAATCAAACTGCCTCATTTAAATGGACAACTTCTTTAAGTTGTAGATCTGAGACTTGCCTACGCCCTTCTCAAGGTTATTGGCCACTTGTTGATCAGATCTCACCTTCTGTATCAGTTAGGTTGGATTTGATTGCAAGTAACAGTCAGCTGAAGCTCTACTGCCTTAGATAAGAAAGGCTCACATTACCAGGGTTGGTTTAGCAGCTCTACCAGGTCAGGAAGAGTTCAGTTTCTCTTCAGCTTCTTACTCTGCTGGGCAGCATAGCCTTCCTGCTGAGGCTGGTGGTCCACGTGGTGATCAGATGGTGAGCGGTAGTGACGCCGGCACTCTTGTTTATTTGTGTTCTTTGAAAGAAATTGTTTCTTTCCTAGACTGCCCCTTCCCCCATGCTGCCTCCCCCTTTCCCACAAACATCTCTTTCAGTCTCATTGCCCAGATTAGGTCCTTACTCACCCCTGACCCAATAAGTATGGCTAGGGGTATGAAATGATACCATTTAGCTTAGGCTTGTGCTAAGAGCCACGGCATTGCCTCTCCCCAAAGCAGGTAGGCGTCATGTAGAAGGTATGCATATCCCCTACTCCTGCCTCCACCACCAAATTGGAATAGTTACCAAGAGTTGAACAATGGATGTTGAGGAGGCAACTATACTCCCTAGCATAGTTTAGATATCACTTTTTCCAGGACACCTGCCCTGCTGCCCTATGTCCAGATTTGAAGTCTTTCCTTGTGTCTTTTCAGCACAGTAGGACTGCCTGTTTGCTTATGGAACAAGAAGAAAAAATAGTTTCTTTATAATTCGGTGGTCATCTTCTAAGGAGGGGGTATCTGGCTAATGGGAGGACCCTTTTAAGAGTTCAGATGTAAGGCTGAAGTGGTCTGGCATACAGAGGGGAGAGTCATAGTGTGAAAGGGACGATCCTGGGCCAGCAGCCTCTACCTGGGCTGAGAGACTGAGGGTAGAGTAGGGTGGGGTGAGGAGTTTAAGGATTGAGGTGATGCAGAGGACAAAGATGCTTACGGGGAGAGGAGAGCTATGTGTTGTGGAGTGTAAACTCTGTACCTCCTGAGGTTTTCCCTATGCATTCTTCAGTGAAATAGCTTTTCTTATTTGCCTAATATGAGTGGATTTATTTTAAAAGGTTTGCATTCAAAGTGTCAGGGCAAGAATGGGGGCCAGGCTGGGCACAGTGGCTCACTTCTGTAATCCTAGCAGTTTGGGAGGCCAAGGCGGGTGGATCACCTGAGGTCAGAAGTTTGAGACCAGCCTGACTAACATGGATAAACCCCGTCTCTACTAAAAATACGAAAAAAAATTAGCTGGGTGTGGTGGCGCATGCGTAATCCCAGCTACTCGGGAGGCTGAGGCAGGAGAATAGCTTGAATCCGGGAGGCGGAGGTTGCGGTGAGCTGAGATCGCACCATTGCACTCTAGCCTGGGCAACAAGAGAGAAATTCCGTCTCAAAAAAAAAAAAAAAAAAAAAAGAATGGGGGCTGACCTTGGAACGTGATGACATTTGGGTTTCACCTGCCTGTACCCCTCCTTAGACTCTAAATCTCATGAAAGCAGGGACCAGGTCTGTCTTTTTCACCTTTGCCTAGCTCAGTGCCTAGTACACAGGAACTTGGTGAGTATTTGTCGAGTGAATGAATAAATGAATGAACAAGCTTGGTAAAGTCAGAGAAACCTTTGTCACATCCCAAGTCTGCTACATTCTCACGTGTGGAATGAGGAAAATGATAATGACCTTGTAATCTTATCGTGAGATGTAAGTATAATTTAATAAATAAATTTAATTTATTTATAAATTAAATAAACCACAACTATGATTATTAGCTCTTCCCACATTTTACCAACGAAGCTACAAATACTAATAATCACACCACGAACATTTAGTGAACATTTCCTTTGAGCAAGATGCTTTGCCCTTTGCTAAGCACGTCACAATAATTACTTCCTTTAATTTTAATCCTCCCAACCATCCTGTAATTATCCAGATGTCAGCTGTTCCTTTAGGACATACCACATACCCAGCATCCAACAACATCTATCATTAATCAAAGGCACCAAAATCGAGATAGGGAAGGAAGGAAACTTTTTCTGGCCTGTTTCTTGCTCCCCCATTCTCTGGACGTGCACAGCTCAGTTGATCTAGTAAGACTGGATAGAGTGTGACTAGCAATTTACACTTAAGAGCTACCCCAGAGCAAAATGTGATGGATTCTCGGTTGTTGTAGCAACGGAGATCACATGACCTTAGAGAAGGCAGAGGCGGAGCCTGTGGTCACTAGTGATGGGAAGAGTCGAGGGTGGATTTGTGAGCACCAGGAATCAGTGGGCTTTGTTTTCTGGCAGGGTCTATTCCTGGAACAGCTGAAAATACTGAAGGCTAAATTCAGACTCTTGGATGAGACTCAAAGATTGACTGATGAGAAGCAGAAGAGAGAAAGGGGCTTTGTTCCTGTTTGTATAGGTCCCCTGTGCATATCTAATATTTGGGGACGTTAGTTTTGTATTTCTAGAATAGGAATAATAATATCTGATCTCTCATTTCTCATGCAGTATTTAGGAGTTTAATGAAGTGATTCAGAATTTCTCTATGAAAAAATGCTATAGAGACAAAAATTATTTCAGTAAATATATATATATATATAAAGCTCCATATGTACTCTGACACACTGAAGGAAAGGTAATACTGACTCATTTAAGGTTAATTTCTTCATGAGTTACAGGTCTGCGTTGTGCACTGAGATCTCCACAATAATACATTTATAGTTCTATATGCATGTATAATATAAATAAATGTATACTTAAAATCGTGGATGCTCTTAGAGGCAGAATCACATGCTTGTTGCTGTTCTTGGATTTCTGTCTTTTCAAAAAATATCAAAGGATCAATCTGATAATATTGTAACACAATCGAATTAAGTTGTCATTTGCTTTACAAGTCAAAGGGATTGCTCAAACCTTAAAGCAACTGGTAAAGAAAGTAACAAGAAAAACTGACTTTGAGGACTTCAAACCCTCTAGATTAGAATGACTTCATTGTATAGACATGTTTTAATCAAAAGCAGTAGAGGATTTTAATCAAAAGTGATAATGGGCCATGCCTGTAATCCCAGCACTTTGTGAGGCAGAGGTGGGAGGATTGCTTGAGCCCAGGAGTTCAAGACAAGCCTGGGCAACAAAGTGAGACCCTGTCTCAACAAAAAATAAAAAAATTAGCTGGGCATGCTGGTGCACGCCTGTGATCCCAACTACACAGGAGGCTGATGCAGGAGGATTGCTTGAGCCCAGGAGGTCAAGGCTGCAGTGAGCTATGTTCATGCCACTGCATCCCAGCCTGGGAGACAGAGTGAGATCCTGTCTGGAAGAAAAAAAAAAGTGATAATGGTTGTTATTAAGTTTTGGTGGTTAAAAGGAATAAGCTTCAGTCATCTGAAAAAAGTCCCTTGTCATGGAATGCTCAATTCTCCAATTGTGAGCTCTACTATAACTAATTTTAAAGGACTCAGCACTGGGACACCCATGCTCTAGTCTGAGTCCCTCCACTAATGTGGTAGCTAACCTTCAGAAAGTCATCTAATATTGCTGGATCTCTGTTATCTGCCAACTGAAGAGAATGGAGTAATTAACTTCTACAGTCCTTTCAGCTGTAAGATGCTGTGATTACTTTCAATCATTTCCAGAAAACTTAGTGCTTATCTTTGGAACACTGCTAAGCAACAGCCTGAAATGAGAGCTAAAAATGAAGCAAGACTCAATACTGTCGAGTTACAATTATAGCTAACGCCGCCAACATCTACACTACACTGGACCCTGTTCCTTACACTTTGCATTTATTATCCATTTAATCTGAAAAGCAACCTCAGGCATGCCCAAGTACAATAACCTACATCTCAAACAAGGAATGACAACAAATTTTGGGATTTCCAGGTACCAGCCAATGGATCCTTATTTACATAAAGACAAATCTATCCTGTCGATGTCATTTTGGAATAGTACAGGGAGAGACAATTGCTGGGTTTGCTTTTTCATGGCTTTTTATCTACTTGAGGCATTTGAGAGTTTAGCAAGCTCCAGAGCATAATTACAGATCAATTCTTAGTCTTTATCTTACTAGACTTTTCAGCAGCATTTGACATAGTTAATTGAAGCAATTCTTGAAACAATTTCCTTGCGGGGCTTCCGGGACCCCAAACTCGTCTGATTCTCTTCCCATCTCTCCAGCCACTGCTACTTATTAGTGACCTTTGCTGAACTCTCCTCACCTCCCCAACCTCTGCTTGTTGAAGAGCCTTTTCTCTTCTCCACCTACACTGACTGCCTTGGTGATCTCATCCAGGCTTGTGGCTTTATATGTTGGTGATTCTAAAATTAAACCTCCCCTCCAGGTCTCTGCTCTGAACTCTGTAGGGGCCAAAAAAAAAAAAAAATTCCCCTTCACTCCCTGAAGGTTTGCTGAAAAATCAACTGATAAAAGGCAGATTAATAGGATAAATGGCTATAAATTTATTAATGTGCATGGGAGAGAACCACAGAGTAATTACTCCTGAACCTCCTATGGGATTCAGAAGCTTATATACCATCTTGAGGTTTACAGAAAGAATAGGGGCTTGGACCATGTATTTTGGGTGAAATATTTTGGTTTTCTTCAACTCCAAACAAATATAGTCAACTGCCAACTCAACATCTTCACTTGGGTATCTAATCTCAAACTTAAGATATGCGAACTTTTGATTTTCTCCTCCAAACCTCCTCCTCCTCCAGCATTCTAAAATATGGTAAAAGGCATTACTGATTCACAACCTAGCCGTTCAGGCCAAAAACCTAGGATTCATGGTGGCTGCCTCCTGTTCTCTTTCATGCTGTCTCCTGTTCTCTTTCATGCCACACTTAATCTATCAGCAAATTCTGTCATCTCTATGTTTAAAAATGATTCAGAATCTGACTATTGTTCACCAGTTCCATTGCCTCCATCTTAGTCCAAACCTCTAGCATTCCTCACTTAGGCTATTACAGCAACTTCCAATTGGTCTCTTAGCTTTCACTCTTGCTTCCTACACAACATCCCTCCTCCCAACAAATCTCTTCTCCAAACAGCAACTTGTGATTCCTTTAAAGGGTAAATTGATCTGGCACAATGGCTCATACCTGTAATCCTAGCACTTTGGGAGGTTGAGGTGAGAGGATCACTTGAGATCAGGAGTTTGAGACCAGCCTGATCAACATGGTGAAATCCTGTCTGTACTAAAAATACAAAAATTAGCCGGGCATGGCGGTGGGTGCCTGTAATCCCAGCTACTCGGGACGCTGAGGCGGGAGAATCGCTTGAACCCAGGAGATGGAGGTTGCAGTGAGCTGAGATCGCACCACTGCACTCCAGCCTGGGCAACAGACTGACAGAGCGAGACCGTGTCTCAAAAATAAATAAATAAATACATAAAGTGTAAGTCATTGCTAACCCAACTACATTTGCTCATACGGAGAACGTAACAATCCCTAGTTCTTAGCATGGCCTGTGAGATCCTGTGGGAACTGGCTCCCTTCCTTCCTTCCTTCCTTCCTTCCTTCCTTCCTTCCTTCCTTCCTTCCTTCCCTAATTTTTGTATTTTTAGTAGAGACAGGGTTTTACCATGTTGGCCAGGCTGGTCTCGAACTCCTAACCTCAAGTGATCCACCCACCTCGACCTCCCAAAGTGCTGGGATTACAGGCGTGAACCACCGTGCCCGGCCCCTTTTTATTTCTTTATAACAAGTAACCTTCCTCTCTGGTTAGGGACTTTTGTCTTTTTTCTTTAATGCTGCTTCCCAGTGCTTACAGCAGTACTTGGCACATGAGAGGTGCTTGATAAATATTTGTGAAAGGAATGAATAAATCAATATTATAATGACAAAGCCATGTTGTAGAATGTGTGTAGATAATTTACTCCAGATTAATAAGAACAGCAAGGAAATGCCTTTGCAGCAATCAAAGAAACAATCTGTTCTTCCCTGGGCCTTTTAATGGTCTGGTCTGTCTCCTGCCTTGCTTCAGGAGCACACAGGAACCCTCGCCCACTCGGATGTGCTGTTCCTTGCTCTGGTCTCCGTGGACATCCTGAGCCTTGGCCTTACCTCCCTGGATTCCTGCTCGGCTCCCTGGCTCTCCATGTTTGGGTGACCTGCCTGGACCCTCCTCTTCAGCTTACACACCTATACCACAGTTCAGCTCATTAACAGAAAAATAGCAAATGCTATTAGGTAATGAGTATAATGCAGCATTTGCATTATACTCATTACCTAAGTAGCATTTGCATTATAGTCATTACCTAAGCAGCATTTGCATTATACTCATTACTTAAGTAATCCAATTCATTTTCCTATTAGAAAAAAACAAGGAGGAAAATAAAAATCAGCCCAAATCTCTTTTACATATACCCTTCAAAGATAATAACTATAGCATTTTGGTTTAACTTAGCTTTAGGTAAGAAACTATCTTGCCCCAGCTATGGTCCTATAAGATTCACCCTGGCTGGACTAGTTACCTGGTCTTCCCACCAGGAAAAAGGAAAAGGTCAGAAATAAAATATAAAGTAACATTTTATAGTTGATGAATCAGAAAAAAAGTCATCTAAAATATCATGTTGGTGAGGTTCTGATTAAATTTGCAAAAGTGTGTATATATATAATATATGTAAGTTATTATATATGTATAAAATATATATTATATATATGTTGCTAGTAAAATTTTAAACTACAACAGTCATTATGGTTGTGTGAGAGTATAACACTTTATGTTATAAAAATATTTATAACCTTTTTTGCCCTTAAAATAATCTACTAGCTGAAAAGCTTTCCACACACAAAGGTAATATTATAGTATAATCTATTTTAGCCAAAAAATGGAGAATCACCTATGGGTTCAATAACAGTGAAACGGCTAAGTAAACTGTGACATTAAAATCTCCATGAAAAATTATTTTTCTTTAAAATTATAATTATGGACAACAGAAAAAATGATTATGATGTAGTATTAAATGGAAAAGAATACAAAATTAGATTACTAATAGATAAAATATTTATGAATATGGACTATGGACAGTGAATGGAAGATAATACAAACACAAAAAATCATTGCAATGGGATGAAATTATGGGTGTTTTTTTTCAAAGTACTATTTGAGTATATTTACTGTTATTATTGTTTTTATATATTGTTTTATTACAAAAGGAAACAGACAACAAATAAAAATATGCAATTGCTGATCTCTGAAAGCTTATCCTCTTGCAGGCAATGTTTGTGGCCTACTTAGCAAGTGTTCCCAGCTCCCTTCCTTTTTCTACAGAAAGGTTGAAGATGCCATAGTAAATTTCCCAGCCCTGTTTGCAGCCAGTGGTTGCCATGTGATATGTTCCTGGCCAGTGAAATTCAAAGGGAAGTCTGTTGGAATGCTGCTGCAAAAATGTTTCTTCACTAAATAAGTGAGACCCATGAAGAGAATCCATTTTGTCTTTGTCTTTTTGCTCTACCTTTTTTTCTTCTATAGATAGAGAAGGTGGTCTCACTATGTTGCTCAGGCTGGTCTTGAACTCCTGGCCTCAAGCAATTCTCCCATCTCAGCCTCCCAAAGTGCTGCGATTACAGGCCTGAGCCACCATGCCCAACCTTGCTCTGCCTTTTTGCTTATGAGGATTGCTTCTGAGAGCTGTAACAATCATCTTGCAACATCACCAACTCTTTGGGGAAGGCAGGGTGGAATGATAGAAAGAAATCTAGTACTTTATGACATCACCGAGTCATTAAACAACCTCAAGGACAGACTGCCTCAAGACTTCTTGATAGCTAAACACACAAAAAAAGCTCTTGTGGTTAGAACCCTTTGATAGGTTTTTCTGTTACTTGCAGCTTAATGCATTTTAATTGATAAAATAAGAATCATTGACACACGGAGTTAGGCAAGCGTACAGAAACCACAAAGCAACAGGAAACATTATAATAAATATACAGATTAATTTAAAAGAATGTTATACTTTTATAGAAGGAAGTGAAAAACAGATAACCCAGTTTGTGGTTACTTGTTGCAAAGTTCCCTAGATCTGTTAATGTTTCTTAGTAAAAAAAAATAGTATTTAATATTTCTCATTAAAATAAAGCAAAAATCCAGACACCTTCTTTGGCTCGTAATCTTCTTTGGCTGATAAACATTTGTTTGTGTGTCTCAGGAAGCAGCCAATTAGGGTATGATATGGTAGTTGTTTTTCTCTTTCCCCACATCCTCTGACTTTCTTTCATTAACATAGAATACTACTAAATTATGTAAGATAGAGCTCTCTGGGATTTAAGGATGCACTACCTTGGTGGTGAGAATGTGATTTCTTTATCGACTTAGTATTGGGAGTCTCTTCAATTCAGCCTCTGTCTCTACTCACTACAAATCTGGTTTTGAAGACGATAACGAGTTATTGAATTTGCTGAGAAGGGAATTGATTGCTTACAAGCTGGAGAAGTTGGTGACAAAATAGCTTGTTATAAATGGACTCTTTATTAGAGACACAATTCTCGCTTATCCTGTTTTTTCCAAATGGTGGATGATGTAGCAAATCAGCTGACTCTTAGGTTAAAAAAGAAAGCCAGGAGAATGGGCTCTGTGGTTACTATTGATGAAAAGGTGAGTCTAGTATACACAGTGAGAGTAGAAATTAAATAGCAAGTGAGTGGTAAGAGTGAAGGAAGAGGTTCTGCTCCACACTGTGAATAGATGATGACAAGATGGAGTGAAATGTCTGCAGCATGTTTCATTCCTGTGACTACCAGAGTTGGCTGGCTGGGGTTTGTGGGGAGAGAGAGGGTAAGCAGCCTCCTTCATTCGTTACTGCTTTAGGAAGGGCTCCCCTGAAGCTGCTTGGGGAAGCAAGGTTGTTAGCAGTTCAGGTGGCAAGTATCTGTAAGTAACAGAAAACCCATCTCAGAGTGTCTTATACAAATATCTTTCTACTTTGTTTCTGTTGTCCTACATGACAAGGAATCCCAAAAGTAGGCTGATGTTCATTCACCTCAGCTGAGCGAAGTGTCACCAGGCATCTAGTCTCTTTCTACATATCTGCTGCACCATTCTTAATTAGCCAGTTTTTGCCTTCATCTTTGACTTCTCCTGATTGTAAGATTGCCATAACTCCATCATTTCCAATCCAAGGCAGGAAGAAGGGAGTGTGAAGGGAGGACACTACTGTCTTTTTCTTAAAATCTAGAAATCAAAATATTTCACAGGAAAACTCAGGAGACTTCTGTTTATGTCTCATTGTTCAAATTGTGTCATATGGCCATCCCTTGGTGCAAGAGAAGCTGGGAAAGAAAATATTTGGCTTGGTACTTTGCTAAATATTTTATGTTTAATATTTAGCCTGAGCAGAATTGGGGTTCTGTTAGCAAAATGCTGCCATGAAAACATAGGATCCAAAGAGTAGAAACATTCTATCCTGCTTTGCTAAAGATCATTCAGCCACTTTTAGTTCCTTAAAGGCTCCAGAGCTCCAGAGCTGTGTTCGGGTCTGGCAGGAGGCAGCCACAGAGCCCAGGAAGGAGAGCAGTGTCACATGGAGGAGCCGCCCTAGAGCAGCACTGTGGCCTCTCTCCCCACCCCTTTCTCCCTTCTCCCCATGGGAGGAGGAGTGATTTCTCTGATGGGGGATTTGGGAGGGAGGAGCTGGGTATGCTAACCTCATTCCCCTTCTTCCTCCTCTCCTTTGGGATCTTCTGACTCATCTGTTTCTGATCATACAGGAAGCTCAGCGGGGCAGACCTTGACCTTACGGGTGAAAACTGAGGTTGTCCAGCTGTGCCTGTGACTGGGGATAATACGGATAAGTCTCCTGTTGTTGTACAAGTAATCTGTCTTTATTACTAAGCCATTCTTAGTAATAAAGATGATAATTTTGATTTTCACTTATCTGACACCTCTGTCTAGCTCTTAATTGTTATTGAGCTCAGATGGATAAAGAAGAGGTGACATATGTGAACACCCTAACAGCCCCACATGCCTGAGCCCATGTGTATCCTCAGGCTAGAACGACCTGGGGAAACCCAAGGCTCTAACGATCCATACTGACAAACTTGAATGTGGGAGTTTATATCAAAATATGTGATCTTCTTTATTTGGGTTACCTTTGGTTTCCATTTCTATGACATTTTCCTGGCAGGATCATGTCATTGATCACCTGTAGGCCCAGCTAGATTCATATTACTCTATTTGGTTGAACTTATGCAGAGTCCAGCATAATTTAGCCAAGGTGTAAGGATGATTAAGGCAATAAGATTGCCCCAAAATTACTTCAGGGATGGATATTTAGAGTTAACAAAACATTAAGTCTTCATTCTTGGATTAAGTGAAAAACAAACTCTGGAGGAAAGAAAACAGATTTCTGAAAATATCATTTCCTTCTCCCCATAGCAAGAACATTGGCAATCTTCATTGTCAAGCAGCTGTGTTTGGAAACTTCTCTTATTTGTCTAGATTTGGGGTTATTTAAGATCCTGTACAAGTTATGACTGGTATATCTAAGTTTAATCCAAAAGAAACTCTAATTTTTTAAGCCATTATCTTTAGGAAAGTTCAGCCATCAGAACAATATTGAAAACTTCCTGAAGTGTTTTCAAGACCTCATCAGCTCCCTACATATGCATGCATGTAAGGAAAATGTATTTTTGTGGCTTCTGGGCAACTCTCATAATTTAAAACATATCCTTTAAAATCAACAGACCCACCCATGTAGAAGAGTCAAGTAAATTCTCACTGCTTGTCCGCCAGTGACATTACTATTTCCCTGAGGAGGCCTCTTCACATGTCTTATAACGTGGTGGGGAGGCTGATTGGGCAGGTCAGAGTGATTCTGTGTCCTGAGCTTCCCCGCTTTGGTGGAAGACTGGCAGCAGGGCACTCCCAAAGATCAAGGTTATACCCTGGCCACTCAGTACTCCATTAGCCCATCCTGGGGCTGTTCATGTCAGAGAACCTAAAGCTAGGTTGCTCAGAAAACTTTAAACTGCTCTGAGCACCAGGATGGAAGCTGATGACACTATTGGTTCAAATTCCAGGTGTTTGACCCAACCAGAAATGTTTGAATGTGATTGGAGATTTCCCATCTCGGTGAGGCTAAGGAACAATTAATCTTGACCTTAACAGTGGTAGCCTAAAACATTTTTCCTTCATTTGCCAAAATGTACCCAACCAAGTAAAGTTAGTGTATCCTTCATGGTTTTATCAGAGAAGCAGAATCACTAGGGATGGTTCAGTAATGAGGGATTTAACCGTATGCAATACGTAGGAGCTGGCTAAACCATCTCTGTGAAGCTATTACTTCTTCCTCTGATACTGGAGCTTGAAGTCAGAAGGACAGGTCGTCAGGAAGGAAAGATAGGTATGAAGCAGGGGAAGCACAGACAAACTGGAGCATGTGAGGGTGAGGTGGAACCATGAGGATGGGCTGGCCTCGTATTGGACTCTTACCTCCCTGCAATCCTACAACTTCTCTGATGCAGGTGACTTGCAGGGGAAGCTGGCGGCCTCTCCTTTGGAGAGTGATGCCCTTCACCCTGGAATCATAGAAGCTGACAGAGGAGACCTGGTGGGACCTGGAGGAGCTGCGGGCCCAGCTACTACCGCTTGCCAGCCAGTGGAGCAGCTAGAGCAGTGATAACATGTGTGAGCAGCAACAGCACACTGTGCCTGCAGCAATCTTGTTGTTGCCATTTTGGTTTTTTTTGGTTTTTTTTTTTGAGACAGTCTCACTCTGTCACCCAGGCTGGAGTGTAGTGGCACAATCTTGGCTCACTGCAACCTCTGCCTCCCAGGTTCAAGTGATTTTCCTGCCTAAGCCTTCTGAGTAGCTGGGATTACAGGTGCACGCCACCACACCTGGCTAATTTTTCTATTTTTAGTAGAGATGCAGTTTTGCCATTTTGGCCAGGCTGGTCTCAAACTCCCAACCTTAAGTTATCTGCCTGCCTTGGCCTCCCAAAGTGCTGGGATTACAGGTGTGAGCCACCATGCCCAGCCTGCAGCAACCTTCTGAGCATAAAAAAATACGATTGTTTCATTCCTGCCTTCTAAATCTCAAACCACATTTCTCTTCTGATCCAAGTCTGCTGTGCAAGGAAGAGAATTCTGGAACTGTAGTCCCGTGCAAGGAAGAGAATTCTGGAACTGTAGTCCCAGCTGAGCTAAATCGACATAATAGGCATCCACCACAGAGAAGAAGGTGGTTGAGTAGACTGCAGAGATATTAATGTCTCACCTCTTGATGTTTCCAGATGGAAAACTGAATGTGCTTTACAGCCAAGTAGCCAGATCTATTAATTGAGGGTAGGAAAATGTAAGCATTTTATCTTTGCATGACAAAAAGAATCTGAGATAGAGCACATAAAAGCTAAAGCCCAGGATAAACTATTCAATATATAAGAAAGATAGAAGGAAAATTAATAGACACCTTGAACAGAATAAGAGTGCTAAAGGTATATGACCCATCACACAGAAGGTTTCTTGAGGGGTCTCTGTAGCAACAGTAGTAATAGCTCTGGCTGAGAGACATTTAGGTCTTCATCAACATCCGTTTGAGTAGGAAGCAGGGATGTGAAGGTTAGAAAACTGGGAAGGTTCTGTTCTTTAAAACTCCCTGTGAAGGAAAGAGATTCAGCAATCCTGGTCAGTTCTCAATATCTCTAGAGAAAGTGCCTCTGTTAAGTCATCTAAAGGGGTAAGGTGAGGTAATGCACATGATCTGTCAATTTGTCAATATCTTTGCATCACTAGTGGCTCAAGGATGCTAATGGTAGATTTCTGATTCGATTTCTGGAATTCTTTTTCTTTTTTCTTTTTTCTTTTTTTTTTTTTTTTTTTTGGAGACAACGTTGTTTCACTGTGTCGACCAGGCTGGTCTCAAACTCCTGGGCTGAAGCAATTCTTCTCACGCCTCAGCCTCCAAAAGTGTTGGGATTACAGACATGAGCCACTGTGCTCAGTTAGGTTCCTGGGATTCTTAGTAATCTCTCTTTCACATTTTTTGATTTCTATAATTTTTTCTAAAGGGAAACTAGGGCCTTACAACCAGTTGGGAAAAATGAGCCAGCCCCTCTCTTCTGTGAAGGGACATGGCAGTTCTTTAAAGCCATCACTGTGATCACTGTTCGTGAGAGACATTCTGAAGCATTTCAGGAACTTTTGCAAGGTGTCTAGTTAGTTAGAGAGTTTTATGTGATTTGAAGCTGCTGCTTTTACTATATACCATGAAGCTGTGCGTCGTACTAATTGCATGTCTACAATCACCCTCAAGTGCATTTATGTTTGACCTGCATGTTATAATATTTCAGATCCATGTGCCTCTTGTCTGAGAAGATGACTTATTTGTTCTTTCCTCTGTGGATTGCAAACCAGGTTGATCCTTACAATCTAAACAAATAGAAAGCCAAGGATCATTTTATTCTGGTTTGTATGATAATATTTTAAAGGGAGACGAATTTTAGCTAACGTGAATGACATAAGATGCAAATGATGACTGCATATTTGAAAGGGAAATTAGTGTCATGAAAATTTAAACTAAGAGGGAAAAACATAAAATAAGTACATGTTGCAATTGATAAAAAGAAGGGCATCTTTTTGACCTATAAATAAATAAAATCTCCCCCTGGATATCCTACATGACCCTCAAAATGTCATTTTCAACGTTTGACAGAAGCTGGGCCTCTACATTTACAAGGTGTAAGTGTGATTCATATGAATTATATTTCAGTTCTGTAACTTCTGTATGATACAAATTGAAAATGTCTTAGCAGCACAGAACACAGATCAATTACTGAACATCTCAGCAACATAAAAAATATTGAAATTGCATTAATATATGGGCTGTAGTGCTTAATCAAAGTATTCCATGAATTATTCCAAAATACATACAATTTAAATCAATTACCACCCACAGATATTTGACTCTGAAAACAGAATTTCAGATAAGAGTCCCTAATGAATGGAGTCTTAACTGCCTAGAGTTTCTGAATTGAATGAAATTAGGATGTGGAAAATTTCCTATGAAATGGAAGGTCCCTGACAAGGTCCAAAGAGCCAAGCAAACCTGCCATTTGGCACGAATGATGCTCTCTTTAAGGACAGCTTCCTCTTGGAGGTAGAATGCTCACAGCTACCTTGGTGAGTAGGAACCATTTTACAATACAGGTCAGCGTGAGACAGAACCACTACCCAAAGGCTTAATAAAAGTGAGTACGGATGGACAGGTAAAGCTGCGAGGAGTGGACATGGTCAGATGAGGAGACCACCCCAGCTCCAGAAGTAGCTTCTGGGTGACCCTCTGTTTTTACAAAATAAAAAAGTCTTTGATTAGAACAGGCATGTCTTCCTTCCCCTCCACTCTTCCTTCCTCCATACAACCAACCAAACAGAACAAAATAGCTATGTGAATAAAGGCTTTGCATGCTGCTTCTTTCACCATTAGATATTACAACCCAGATGGGAGAGGCTCATTTCTCCTTTTCCCTCTTTCCTTAGCTCACCACTGAAAGAGCATTGATGTAGTTACTGATCAATTATTCATTGGGATTCGTTGGCCAGTCCTTAGTTTAATAGAGCAGAACAGATTCATCTCGGGGCAAAAGCAAGGCCTCAACAGAGGCTACACTGAATCAGGGAAGGCATCCTGGTGCCTGTGTATGCTTGGATAGCAACTGAGCCCTGTAAATCCACATGTGTTTAGCACAGGTTCTCCAACAGTCTGCTCTCTGTGGTTCCCTGGCCTTGAGGAGCTTGACTATGGATGTCTTGGGGAGAGCAGGACAAGGTATAAAACATTCCTGGCATCCCAGAAGTTGCCCTTGGGGGTACTGGTTTTTAATAGGCCCAGACACTGTATGGCCCCTTGGTGGCCTAAAACTAATAGAGGGCCCTAGTTTCAGAGAGAATCACAAGACACCAGTGTGATACTGGTGACCCCCATCACCAACAGAAGACCACCAGCCATGGAAGCAGATCTCTTAAGCTTCCTCTCCCTTTTGCGGCCCCCCAAAAGAGATCTAGGCCCTGAGATGGTATTTCAGAGCTCATGTATGTACACACATACATACATGCTCATATACAATCCAAACTTATGCTGAGGAAGAAGAGAAGAGCTTTGAATACCTTACGAGATTAGTTTAGATCAATTTTAATAACTAAAAGTGACCTGAGAGTTATCAAATCTGCCTAAAATGACACTAAGGGATGGAAATGATGATTTGACAAAACACGGATGAAAGTCGTGATTAAAAACCTATGTATCGAGCCCTTTTCTGTTATTTCCTTCTACGAATTGAGTTTCTTTAAATAAACTGGTTACCAGAGATGTATCATTACATAGTTTCTGTAAATTTTATTTTTTTATTTTATGTTTTGAGATGGAGTCTCGTTCTGTCACCCAGGCTGGAGTGCAGTGGCGAGATCTCAGCTCAATGCAACCTTCGCCTTCCCCGGTTCAACCGATTCTCCTGCCTCAGCCTCCTGGGAGGCTGGGACCACAGGCGTGCGCCATTATGCCTGGCTAATTTTTGTATTTTTACTAGAGGTAGAGTTTCACCATGATGGCCAGACTGGTCTTGAACTCCTGACCTCAGGTGATCCATCCACCTCGGCCTCCCAAAGCGCTGGGATTACAGGCTTGAGCCACCGCACCTCGCCACAGTTTCTGTAAACTTTTAATGTAGAGATACGACAACAGCACAGAGAGAAAAAGAATTGGATAAAACCTTTTTCTAGTTCTCTTCCCTGAGTATGTTTCAATCTATCCGTAAAAAGAAATACATAGGCAACCCTGCACAGGGCGTCAAGAAACCAGGGCCCTGGCTCCAGTATGGGAAACCTGGAGATTTGGCACAAGCCCCAACTCTCTCTAACCTCGGTTTCCTCATCCAGCAAAAAGACCCTGCAGTACAGTTTCCCCAGCTGCTTCCAATTTCCTCTCAACTTGCTCGTGAATGAGTCATAACCTGTCCTTTTAAAGGAGCCAGGGCATTTGCGATACATCAAATGTAGGTTAGATACAACTCAAACAGCTATCCCATGTAAAACACCAATTATATAAGCAAAGGATTCCTTGACTCCAGCTTTCGCGTGTTAACTGTGGAAATTAGACTTAATCTCGCCCACGTTCCAAAGGGAAGTTACTGAATGGACGTTGATGTGTATTAGAGCCTAACGTGGTGGCTATGGGACAGAGCACCTGGGATCCCTGACGGCTCTGCTCCCATCAGTAAGTGGATCCTGGCCACCAGCGTCTCAGCTGCTTTGCCATCTCAGAATTAAAGGAAGAGAGAGGAGATGCTCAAGGCTGCTTTTTTCCCCCCTTAGAAAGTTTCCAGAAAGTTATTTTATTTATTTATTTATTTATGACAGAGTCTCGCTCTGTTGCCAGGCTGGAGTGCAGTGGCGCGATCTCGGCTCACTGCAACCTCTGACTCCTTGGTTCAAGCAATTCTCGTGCCTCAGCCTCCTGAGTAGCTGGGACTACAGGCGCAGGCCACCACACCCAGCTAATTTTTGTATTTTTAGTAGAGACAGGGTTTCACCATGTTGGTCAGGCTGGTCTCAAACTCCTGATCTCAAGTGATCCACCCACCTCGGCCTCCCAAAGTGCCGGGATTACAGGCATGAGCCACCCCACCAGGCCCAGAAAGTTAATTATTAAATACTTCAAATATACAGTAAAGCACAGATAAAAGTATAACAGCATATATTTATTTATACACAATTTTTGAAACTGTTAACATTTGGCTACATTAGCCTCAATTAAAAAACAAACAAAAAAAGGAATAAAAAAATTTTAGTTGGAGTTGAAATGCCTTCCTAGCCTCAACTGAGATGTTACCTCTCTCCAGAGGTAATAGCTTCTTATCGTTGATATACATTTTTCCTGTCCATGTTTTTATACTTTTTCTACATATTTATTCATGAATAAATAAGATATTGTTTGTGTTTTTCTCTTTTACATAAAAGATATACCGGAAATGACTTTTTGTCACTTGCTCTTTTCTATTCAACTTTACATTTTCGATTAATCTGTGTTGAAATATGTAGGCATTTATTCATTTTAACTGAGATATAATATTTCATTGTGTGATTATGAAACCACAATTATGTGTTCTACTAGTGATGAACATCAACCTTCTAACCTATTCACATTACAAAGAATTATGTGTATCTCATTCTGTACCTGTCTGAGCAGCATATAACTGAAGGTGAAGTTGTTTCCTTGAAGGCCACGAGCATCTTCTATGTGAACAGATACCGCAAAATTGCTCTAAGTGGTTGTGCAAATGCACACACCCTGTCATGTATCAGAGTTCCTGTTGTTCAATATCCTCGCTAATGTATTACCAGACTTTCAGATTTTAGTTATTTAGGTGAGTGTGAAATGGTATCTCATTTGTGATTTTAACTGGCATTTCCTGATTACTAGTGATATGGTTTGTCTCTGTGTCCCCACCTGAATCTCATCTCAAATTGTAATCCCCATGTGTGGAGGGAGGGAGGGAGGTGATTGGATTGTGGGGGAGGCTTCCCCCATGCTGTTCTCACGATAGTGAGTGAGTTTTCACGAGATTTGATGGTTTTATAAGGGGGCTCTTCCTCTTCGTTTTCTTTTTTCCTGCAGCCTTGTGAAGACCATGTTTGTTTCCCTTTCACTTTCCGTCATAATTGTAAGTCTCCTGAGGCCTCCCCAGCCTTGTGGAACTGTGAGTCAATTAGACCTCTTTTTTTTTGTAATAAATTACCCAGTCTCGGGTATTTGTTTATAGTAGTGTGAAAATGGATTAATACAACAACTAGAGAATTTTTTCATCTGTTTATTGGTCTTTAGAGGCTGCTCTTCTATTAACTGACAGTATATACCTTCTGCTCATTTTTTTCGTTGGGTTGTGGCCTTTTTCTTTGGTAGTATTTTCTTCTATTTTAGGATACTAATCTTTTCTTGGTTGAAAATATGAGTTGCAAATATTTTATGCTTTGGCCTTTCACTTTATGTATGGTGTCTTTTGTCATACAATAATTTTACATTCTAATGTAGTCAAAATCCATTTTTTCCTTTATGGTTGGTACATTTTCTGTGTTAAGAAACACTTTGGGCTGGGTCTGGTGGCTTACGCTTGTAATCCCAGCACTTTGGGAGGCCAAGGCGGGTGGATCACGAGATCAGGAGTTCAAGATCAGCCTGGCCAAGATGGTGAAACTCCGTCTCTACTAAAAGTACAAAAAAAAAAAAGAAGGAAAAAAAAAATTAGCCAGGTGCGGTGGCAGGCACCTGTAAACCCGGTTACTCAGGAGGCTGAGGCAGGAGAATCGCTTGAACTAGGAGGGCGGAGGGTGCAGTGAGCCGAGATGGCGCCACTGCACTCCATCCTGGGCGACAGAGTGAGACTCCATCTCAAAAAAACCCTTCAGGCTGGGTGTGGTGGCTCACGCTTGTAATCCCAGCACTTTGAGAGGCCGAGTCGGGCAGATACCCTGAGGTCAGGAGTTCAAGATCAACCTGGCCAACATGGTGAAACCTTGTCTGTACTAAAAACACAAAAAGCTAGCCAGGCCTGGTGGTGCATGCCTGTAGTCCCAGTTACTCAAGAGGCTGAAGCAGGAGAATTGCTTGAACCTGGGAGGCGGAGGTTGGTCGAGATTACGCCACTGCGCTCCGGCCTAGGTGACAGAGTGAGACTCGTCTCAAAAAAAAAAAAAAAAAAAAAACAAAAAACCCTTCAGACACAGAGATGGAGGCAGTTGTATTGTGGAGAGTCTACACTTGGAATGCTTAGATTTGAATCTCACATGAGCTTCTTAAATGATGGGAACCCTTGCTCTTTTCTAATTCCTGGAAAAGTTTGTATCAGATCAGGGTTATCTGACCTTAAAGGTTTGTCAAAATCCAACTTATACAGTCATCTGTGCCCTGTACATTTTGTTGTTGTCATTGTTGATTTGTTCAACAGGTTTATTGAACTATCATTAATATGCCACACAATTCACCTATTAAAGTGTACAGTATTTTTTTTTTTTTTGGTAAAGCTATTCATGATGCAACCATCACCACAGTGTAGTTTTAGAGCATTTTCATCATCCCAAAAAGTTCATGACCATTTGCTGTCAATCTTAGCTTCCTCTCCTAGCCTCAGGCAATCTGCAGATATAAATTTGTCTTTCCTAGAAATGTCATATAAGTAGAGTCATACAATATGTAGTCTTCTTTCACTTAGTAATTTTGAAGTTCATATGTTATAACATGTTATCACTAAATCCTTTTTATGCTGAATGGTATTCTATTTATGGACATACCAGATTTTATTTATCCATTCAGCAGTTGATGGACATTTGTATTGTCTCAGGTTTTTGGCTATTATGAGTAGTGCTGCTTTGAACATTTGCTTACAAGTCTAAATGTAATTCAATTTGAGTAATCCATATTTTCTTTCTGGCTGGTTTAAGATTTTCTTTTTGTCCTTGGCACTTTGCTATTTCATTACAATATTTCTAGGGGTGGATTTATTTTTATTTATACTGCTCATTATGCTTCTTGAATCTGAGTACTCATGTCTTTCTGTAATCCTGTGAGAATCACAGTTACCATCCCTTCTGTCTGATGCTCTCCATTTTCTCCATTCTCTCTTCCTAGAATTGCCGTTATGTACGCCACACTTTTTCATTCTATTCTTACATCTCCCAGCTTCCCTGGGTTGCAGTTTAGAAAATTTATTTGCCTCTATATTCTGAATCAAGAATTTGTCTCTTCTGTTAGGTTGCATTTTCTGTTACCAGTTCATTAAATTCTTCATTTCATTGTCAATATTTATTTCTCTTTGGTTCATTTTCAGAAATGCCTTTTTCTTTACTCATTTTGTCCTGCTCTCTCCTAGGATCTATTTGTTTAAAATAAACTTTTTAATCATTTAAAATATATATAATATTTCTTTCTCTTTTAGAGAAGGGTGTCCCTCTGTCATCATGGCTGGAGTTCAGTGGTTCACTCATAGCTCACTGTAATCCCAAACTCCTAGACTGAAGTGATTCTCCCACCTCAGCCTCCCAAGTAGCTAGGACTATAGGCATGCACCACCATACCCATCTAATTTTTAAATTTTTGTAGACAGGGTCTTGATATGTTGCCCAGGATGGTCTCAAACTGCTGGACTCTAGTGATCCTCCTGCCTTGGCCTCCCAAAGTACTGGGATTACAAATGTGAGCCACTGCACCCAGCCATGTAATCTCTTTAAGGTTATTTTATGACCTACTGTTCTGACAGTATGATTTCTCCCATTTATTGTCTCTCCTGACTTTCCCTTGTTACAGTTCATTACCCTGTGTGGTTTATAAATTTTTACTGTGAGCCATTTTTAGCAGGTGTTCATTATCATATTTGAAATGTTTGTGCCTCCTGAGTTGTGGAAATGTCACTTTGGGACGGTTTTGCATTTGTTTCTGTGGACTAGGTGCTCCAAATCTGGTTTTCTACCTTTATTCTTTGGCTTGGGATTCTTATACAAATGACATAATCTGGACCTCAGACCCCCCAGCCCCATAAACTTGTGGTTTTGATTTCTTAGTAGGGACTTTTTGTTTGTAGTCTTGATTTTTTTTTTTTTTTCAATTAATGTTCCAGGCAGATGGTACGCTTCCTTGTTGCTTTCCTGACAGAGAAGGTTGTTTTCCTAAGCCTTTTAGAAGGAAGGGCAGCTCTTTGAGGGCTCTAGTTTTGTGTGTTTCTGATTACAGCTCCCCACCCCTCTGAGGCCTGGGGCCACATCTCCTGACCCTTCATCACGTATTGCCAGTGCCATCTCTTGGTTTGCCAGAGTCGTTCCCCAGGGTCACCCTGGTGCCAGTTCATGGGCCTGCTCCTCTGGCTTCAGACATTCTTGTTTTCTAGTTCCAATATTTTTTCTTTTGAGTGTGGCTGTGTATCAGAATCTCCTTCAGGTTGTATGCTGCCCAGTGTTCCTATGTGTCTGGAGCCATGTTGAGGTCGACTTCAGTTCATTGTGCCGCAGAGCTGGAGATCTCCATCTCTCTCCATACCCTGCTTGCTCAGGGGCGTCTGCTGACTGTTCATTCAGCCAGAGGACTGAGAGGTCGGAGGCATTGCCCTCTTTGGAGAAGGCTTAGGCCGCCCTTTATTCACCACTGCCCTCAACCTCATTCTTTATTCCTTTAGGCACCTAGAGAGTTCAGGTTCCTCAGGGAAGCCCCAGCTGTGTCTTCACATTTTTCTTCTTCCAGGATAAAGTAAAACAGGTCGAGATGGAGCCTCCTTGAGGACCAGCATCCCTCTCCCCTTTCCACATCCTTCTCTCTGTCGACCTGACAGAGGCCCAGGCCAGCATTCCTCCAGGCCTGAAGAGTGATTCTCTGGTTTCTCTGGTGTTTGTTCTGCTTCTTGCTGACAGATGTGGCTATTCATCTTGTTGGGGTGGTGAAGAACAGAGGCTTGGGTTTGGACGTGGAGATGGAGAGGAAGAAGTAGCCCTTCAGTTGTTTTGGCTCTTTAGATGCATGCAAAGGCATTCGTTAGGACCAGGCTGACTCACCACAGTGCTGCAGTGAGATTTGGAACCCAGGCTTGTAATAAAGCGTTGCTTGTGTTGTTGAAAGGGTGGTTATTTAGGAAGGGATTAGGATCCCAATGAGCCTGAATCACTTAGACCTGTGTTTCTCACGTGTGCCTGTGTATTCAAATCACCTGGGGGACTTCTAAAAATAATATGGATAGCCTGCCCCTAACTCAGAACAATCAAATCAGAATGTCTGAGGATGGGTTCTAGGTATCAGTGTTTTAAAACTCTCCTAGTGATTCGAATATGCAACCAGAGTGTCAAACCACCACCTTAGGCAAACACCATCTTAATAACGTCCCAATATTATTTCCGACACAAGTTAAAGTCAAGCATCTTCCCTCTTTAAGAATCATTAATTAGCTATGGGGAGAGGTTAAGAGAGCTCTGTGCAGACATGAGATAACTATTAACACATATATTTTTAAAAGGCCAAGAGACTGATTACCATGTGATACAACAAAACTTCAAAATCACGTGCTAAGTTAAGGTCAGTAAGCTAGGGAGTTCACTATTCCCCCTTTCCACCTCTTGATTATTTGATCTTTGTTTTGGTCTCTGTGGAAGACAAAGATGCTCAGTCTGCAACATTTTTGCAGCTGGAAGGATAGTCCCTGGAGTCCGAAGCCTTCACTTTATTCTGAGGGCTACAGTGTGACCCTACAGGGTTTAGAGTATTTTTTAGTCCTCATTGCTCCCTTCTTTATTTTGGGTTGCAGCCCTCCATGCAGAATCTTCTCTATGTTGTGCTACATTAAGTCCCACAAGGGACTCTTTGGCCACTCTAGAGCCATTCTCCAGTGCACCTGTGAGCTTCCCTCAGCTTTGAAGCCTTCTTGAAGGTTGAGCCAAATGTTGCCTGCGTGCATCACAGGGGAGAACATAGGCTCTCGGAAGATGCTGGGTTTTAGTGGACAAACAGTTTCCAGAATTCCCTTTAGGACACTCAGTTCCTTTCTCCAGGAAAGAGGGACGAGATGTCCTTTTCGCTTTGGCAGAATGTTCAAATGCAATCTCGGGGGTCCTTATGGTATATGAACAGAAGTTCATTGATCTAATTTCAAAAGGGCATGGACTAAAAACTCTTGAGAGGAAATGTCTGTTGAAAGGATCTCCTAGGTGCTTGCTATCTCTAGATAACCATGAAAAGTCACCAATCAATTCTGAAAGTCCTACAATTTCAAATCGTTCTCTCTGCCATCCTCCCAGGTCTACACTGACTTGCAGTTTGTTCTTCATTCCTTCCTCAACTGCATTAATGTAAAAATTCAACTGCAGCCATGCTATTTACCCCTTTTCTATGTTGAGGAAATGAATCTTTTGTCTCCTACTTTATTTCTTTCTCTTTTTACTTGAAATAATGTTTTTTTTTTTTATCGTGTTGTATTCAGTTTGCTTTGACACTTTTCTTTTTAAAACTTTTTTTTTTTTTTTTTTTTTTTTTGAGACAGAGTCTCGATCTGTCTCCCAGGCTGGAGTGCAGTGGCGTAATCTTGGCTCACTGCAAGCTCTGCCTCCCAAGTTCACGCCATTCTCGTGCCTCAGCCTCCCGAGTAGCTGGGACTACAGGCGCCCACCACCATGCCTGGCTAATTTTTTGTATTTTTAGTACAGAGGGGGTTTCACCGTGTTAGCCAGGATGGTCTCGATCTCCTGACCTTGTGATCCGCCCGCCTTGGCCTCCCAAAGTGCTAGGATTACAGACGTGAGCCACCGTGCCCCGCCTCTTTTTTAAAACTTTTAAAAAATAACTCCTTTCAGAAGGCTTATCCCACACATTGGTAAACACTAGAAAACATTGCTGTTACCTCAGGAGGATGTTGGAAGGGAACAACAGGATTATTCACTTTTTCTTTATAAAACTTTGTTTTCTTTACTTTCTTAAAATAGGCACATATTCAGCAATGAAAAATATTACAAAATAAATTCAGTCACAAAGAATCTAATGTGTTTGAATGTATGCAACCCCTTGATGTGTACATTTTGTCATAAGTGTACATACTATATGTATATTTTATAAATATACACATAAATACACAAATAAATACATTAGTATTTATAAAGAACTTCAGACACTGCCTCCCCCACCGTAGACCCAGTACATTATAAATAAAAAACCAAATATGTGTGCCATCATTTAACCAAACAAAGGATTTGCATTAAACCTGAAAGCGAAGGGAAATTCTGAGTTAAGTGTGAAGATACAATGCTTAGCCAAGTGTGGAGAGTATTCCACTGTTGATGGATATCTTCTGATGTTTTCTTTGTTCTCATTTGAGAAACTGGAATGAGTTAAAGTCAAGGAGCATGCTGAGGTTTAACTCATTCCATAGCTCCAGAGTGACACAGGCGTGATTTAAAGCCAGTGAGCCTGCCGAGATTTCAGTTCTTAGTGGAAGATGTCTGTCTTTGATTGATTGCATAGAACCAGGGGTTCTGAACACCTATTGTGACTGACCCAGGGCTGAATGCATCCAGGCAGATGGTTTGCTGCATTCCTGTAATTTTTCTGGTTCTAGTCAAAGCCCTTGGATGTGAGTAGCTAGTGGATCGATCGGGGACTGTTTGATGGGTCCTGGACCCTGCAACTACTCCCACAGCTCCAAAGGGTCTGGGGTATTTCTGGGTCAGACCCGCGCACCTCAAACCTTGAGAAAGACTGTAGGGTCTGGACCCTGACTAGGGCTTTGGGCACCTGTAGGACTGGAGGTGGGCTCTAAGCTAAGACTGTTAGAAGTGGGTGGCAGGGTGAACTAGGAGCACTCACAACCAGGATGGACCGACACAGAATCCTACACAGACTCCTGCCCAGCATGGAGGACAGGCTGCATCTGCCCTGACCTCAGCTCAGTGAGTTCAGCCAGCCCTGAACCAGCTTTGGTTTTGGCACAGTAGTTGGTGACAATGCTGCTCTTCCAATTAAGACTTTCCTTAAAGGCAACTAAAAAATAGGAGAGAATTAAATTTGCAATATGTTTTTGCAAATGTATTTTTCTGAGCTTAGTGCTTTGTAGCTGCATTTTTTTTTTGTTGTTATTAGAAAAAAACATCTTGCTAAACCATAAACAAAACTCTATTAAGCGGTTGCATTGGTGGTTGGAAATGGTACTGTTGCTAAATAAAAAAGTCTAACTTGATTTCGTTGGAATGGGAAATTCCACAGAGACTTGTGAAAAAAGTGCAGGGGCTTCTTTTGTATTCTTAGGCACGAATTCAAAGAATTCGATTGTTCATGGATCAATAATGCTACAACTATTATAACTTCTGAGATAATTCATGCTGCTGAGGTTTTTTAAGTTTCAGGGAAAATATTTTCATGAGGCCTACTTTGATGGGGCGAATTAAGTGTGGATTCATGACTGCTCAGGGAGGGATAGTTTGGGAACTTTCCCAGTGACTCCTTTCCAAGTGATGAGCCAAGTCCAGCCCCTGGGACCACACACTCACATCCTTCCGGCTATTTTATATGTGAAGGGAAGTCCCAGAGCACCTCCTGTCCTGAGACAACTGGTTAGGGTGGGGACAAGTTAGACATTATATTATAAAGTGAAAGTACCAGAAGCCCTCCCACCCATGTCCCAGGCCTAAAATCTAACTTGCTTGGCTTGTTTAGCTTCAGTAAGTCCCCTGAATTGGTGCCCTTTTAGGCTTTGGCTTTCCTAAAGGGGTAGACATTTATTTATAATTACAGCACAACAAAATCGCCCATACTGGAAATTAATTTTATGTACATTTAGTATAAAAGTACCTTAACATTTCAGTTTCGTTCTCATTTCATTTTAGCTCTCCAGAGACATAGCCTGACCAAAATACTGATTGCAGTATTTAGACATGGCCTGGGCCCTTTTCTTTCCGATAAAGAACAGGTGTGCTTATGGTTGAGGCACCATCTGTCTTAAAAGCTGTGTTTAGTCATTGTGATGGCTCACACTTGTAATCCCAGCACTTTGGGAGGCTGAGGCAGGAGGATTGCTTGGGTTCAGGAGTTCAAGACCAGCCTGGGTAACATAGCAAGACCCTGTCTCTAAAAGTGGGCCTGTAGTCCCACTTACTCAGGAGGTAAAGGCGGGAGGATTGCTTGAGCCCAGGAGTTCAAGGGTGCAGTGAGCTATGAAAACAAAACAACAAAACCCAAAAACCTTATGTATCTGATAGCATAGCAGAGATTCAACAAATATTAGATAAAGGAAAATAGGATCAAGGATCGATTCAGTTCTGTTTCAGTGTTTATCAAGTACCTTGCACGTCCAAGAAGAAAGGGCACAAACTTGTGCCCCCAAATCTGGCCATTTTCAACCTCACACTTGGTATGTCATCCAACCAGTGAAAAAATGATTTCCCCTGCCAACATCTTATTGAGCATAACTTCAGTGTGAACTTCTTCTGTATATTCTATAACAGAGTCATTATATCTATGTCAGGGTTTCTCAAACTGGGCACCACTGACATTTTGGGCCAGTTAATTCTTTGTTGTGGGGACTGTCCTATGCACTGTAGGATACTTAGCAGCAGGCTCCCCAGCCTCTATCCACTAGGCACAACCCTCCCCCATCCCCGACCAGTGATGAGAACCAAAAATGTTTCTAGACATTGCCAAATGTCCTCTGGGGGGCAATCACCCTCAGTTGGAAATCAGTGATCTATTTAAAATAATATTACATGGTTATGCCACTTTAAGCAATACTAAAATTTAAAAAACTCTAATAATCTGGGGTCTTTTCTTGTTTTGTGAAGGTGTTCTATAATATTCTACTCCAAGGAACACATACGGAATGGACTTTCCCCTGAGAAGTAAGGGTTTTGTTTATGGGAAAAATAACTGTTGTTTGGGGGTGGAGATTTATAGTTACAAAAGTTTTTAAAAATATTTAACTTATTTGAAACAATAATAGAAAAAAAAACCCAAAGATCCAAGTGGTCATAATCGTCACCTTGATGAACTCCTCTAACATTAAAAAAGTAAAATTAGCCAGGCATGGTGGCTAACACCTGTAATCCCAGCACTCAGGGAGGCCAAGGCAGTTGAGCTCAGGAGTTAAAGACCAGTCTGAGCAATATGGTGAAACCCTATGTCTACCAAAAAAACCAAAATATTAGCCAGTCATAGTGGCCCACGCCTGTGGTTCCAGCTACACAGGAGGCTGAGGCAGGAGGATTGCTTGAGCCCAGGAGGTCAAGGCTGCAGTGAGCTATGTTTGCATCACTGCATTCCAGCCTAGGCAACAGAGCAAGACCCTGTCAAAAACAAACAAACAAACAAAAGTGAGCATGGGAAACAAATGTCTCTTTCCTTCTGCTTCAGTCCCCAAAGTTAAATGTTGAAGTACAATATTTTTCATTTCAGGAAAAAAAAAAGTTTTCAGTAAGGAAAGTTTAAGCTTTCTTTGTGGAGAATTGGAACAGACATAAATGTGAACCTGAAGTGGAGACAGGGTGATGACTTAAGACTAATGCCAATTCTGAGCAAATCAGAAAGGAAGCCTGGGGCATTGCTCTCCTTAAAAGAGTATGAGACTATTTATTACTTATCTACTCCCTAGGTACGGATAGTCTTCCTTTTCCCATGGTGCACAGGCTGCATATTTTGGAAATATAGTTGTTTTTAGCTTAAATCTGATAGTTTTAACTCAGCAAGTTTGCTGAGACTGGTTTTCTGGCAGAGAGTGCCGTCCCCATCTTTGTTAAGGCTGACCTGCTGTGGTGCTGCCAGGGACTCATTTACTGCCTTTTTTCCTCGGTACACAGGGCACCCACTCTTTCACTCCATTACCATGTTGTTCTGGCGAGAACAATTAAGCCTTTGTCATGCTCTGAGTCTCCCCGCCTGGCCGTGAATGGGCACAGGTTTCTAGTGAAACGGCACCCATCGCTATGTCCCTGTCCTCTCCTTAAAAGGTGCCTGTAGATTTCAGCAGCTTTCCTTAATGAATCGGCTTTTCAGAAAAGTTCTAAATTTGTTTGATGTCCTGAAGCACTTGAGGCTCTTGATCTAAAAGTAGACATTATGAAGAATTTCTTAGTATTCTCTAAGCATGCTTTCCATCCAGTGAATGAGTCTCTTTATGTGTTCTAGCCACTGGCACCCTAAAGTTCAAAGACATACAAGTAAAAAGGGCCATTTGTATGAGGGAAAAAATATTGGAGAGCAACAGGATTTTTTGATTCTTTGTGACCTTTTATGACATTTCCCCTTTTAACATATTGCTGTTTCTTCATTCACTTATTCATGCAGTCACTGACATAAATTAACCAACAACTGTACGTAAGACACTTTGTTAGGCACCATGTGAGATGCAAGGCTAACTGGGAGGGAGCATGTCAGAGTGGCTAAGGACGTGACTTTAGGAATCATCAGATTTGTCAGCTTGGCCTCTTCTGGGCTATGAGCAAGTCACTTTACCTCTCCCAGGCCCATATTTCACATCTGAAAAATCAGAGTAATAATAGTATTTACTTGAGAGGTTTATTGCGAGAATTAATTGAGATACATTGGCAAAGCACATACCACCAGGCGTCTTGTAATTTCTCATTTCATGTTTGTCTTAGTCCGGTTTGTGCTGCTATAACAGAATACCAAAGACTGGGTAATTTATAAAGAAATGAAATGTATTTGGCTCATAGTTCTAGAAGCTGAGAAGTCCAAGATGGAGGGGTTGCACCTGGGGAGGGCCTTCTTGCTGTGTCATCCCATGTCAGAAGGCAGACAGCCAAGAGAGTGTGCAACAGAGAGAGTGTGAAGGGGGCCTACCTTGTCCTTTTATAAGAAAATCGCTCCTGAAATAACAGCATTAATCCATTCATGCAGGCAGAGCCCTCATGTCCTACTCACCTCTGAAAGGTCCCACCTCTTAATACTGTTACAATGGCAATTAAGTTTCCAACACATGCTTTTGGAGGACACAGTCAAACCATGGCAATGTAGTTTTTTTTTTTTTAAAGCAACTAATAGACTAAAATGAAAAAATATATTTACGCGAATAATTATTTATGGTAGAGAACAATAAATGCTATGAGAAGTAAAAACGAGAGTATATTACATAGAATTAGCACTATCTACTATAGCAAACAAGTCCCAAATTTGTGGTTTAACATGATAGGGGTGGCTTTCTAGGGTAGCACTCCTCCAAATGACTCAGAGGTCCTGGCTCCTTCTGTCCTTTGGCTTTCTAGAGCTTCATTCACTTCAACACAAAACTAGGAAAAAACAGTTTGTGTAAAACATTATATGGAATGATTTGTAGCTAAGCCTGTATATAAGCTGCTTATTAATCTGTTAGTTATCTGTTTATGACAGGTATTAACATGATTTAGATGGGATCAGGAATTCAACAGCAGCTTAACTGGATGGTTCTGGCTCTGGGTCTGTCATGAGACTGCAATCAAAGTTTGCCCATGCCATGGTCATCTGAAGGCTTGAATGAGATGGGAAGATTCTCTTCCAAGAGGACTCATGACTGTAGGCAGAAGGTCTCAGTTCTTTGCTGGCTGTTGGTGGGAGGCCTTAGTTCCTTGCCATGTGGCCCTCTCCACTGGGCTGATTGAGTGTCATTACAACATGGCCATAGGCTTCCCACAGAGCCAGTCACCTCATCTGAGAGGGAGGGAGGGGAGAGGGAGGGCAGAGGGAGGGGAGAGAGAGAACACATAAAGCGGAAGCTTAATGGCTTTTATGATCTAGTCTCAGAAGTCATATACTGCCATCTCCGCCGTATTTGTTCATTAGAAGAGAATCACTATGTCCAACCCCCACTCAGAAGAAGGGGAATCAAGTTCCACTTCTTGAAAGAAGTAGTATCAAAGAATTTGTGAACATATTTTCAAACCACTACAGTCTAGAAATGATGAATATCACTTCTGTCTGCATTCTGTTGGCATAAATCCGCCACATGGTCCAATTAAGTGAATGTGAAATGTGGTTTATTTGTGAGCACAGGAAGGAGAGGAGAATGGAATATGGGGTAGAAAACATCTGTGTTTATTAGCATGTGGAGGGTCTAGTTAGTAGATGCAAAGGAGGAGGTTAAGACTGAAGGGAAGAGGTGATATTTGAATATAGGTAGGATTTGAAGAGGTAGAGATACTGGAGAGGATATTTCAAGTGGAAAAATAAAAGGGCATGGAGGCAGGAAATGAGATGGCTGTAGCATGGGTGAAATGAAGTAGCTAAAGATCAGGTTGGAAAGGCATGCTGGGACCACCAGAAACTGTAAAAATGGAATCTTTCGATTAGTTGCAATGTTTTATAATTAATTCTTCATTGTTTATATTGCTTTTCAGGGCATATCTATAATGGCCACATTATCAATGATTTTCATAAGTAAACATGTTACTGCACTGGCTCAGTTTTATTGTTCTCAATTTCTCTTGAATATTTACTCTTAGAGCTCTTTGGACATTGATAACAATATAGTGATTTAGAATATTGTGTAGTATTGAGTACCCAAATGGTACTGATATTTAGAGAAATGGCTAAAAGAGAAAGGAAATTAGAATGTTTGTTGTCTTTCATTGTTCACATTTCTATAGTAGGAAATTTGTGCTTTGTAATCAGACTGACTTTATTAAGTTCTCTTCAGCCACTTAGGGAGTGAGCTACCTAACTTCTCTGGGCCTTAGCTTCCTCATTATAAAAATGAAACTGCTAATACTTACTGTGAATGTATTTCAAGGAGAAAATAAGATGGCATGAAACCACCTAAAAAAACATGCCCGTGATCTCTCTGTTCCTTTTCTTCCTGCACTGTGGCACAGGACCACTGTTACAGTCTTGGCTCCTTTTCTCAAGGTTTCATCTGGAAGGAAGACAAGAACACCCACTGAAAAATTATGGGAAAAAGTCTGATGGTTTACAATCAAGCGTTAAATCAGATGGAGTTCTGAAATGTGCCCATGATGGAAAAGTCATTCAAGCCTCAAAAGGGCAGATGGCACAGGAGTGAAAGGATGAGGAAGGCTGAATAGGCTCATAAAATCATAGATTTCAGGATTGGAAAGGTCTTTGAAGAACAGCATAGCAAGTAGTTGAAAGGATGGGGTTTGAAATTAGGCAAAGCCAGGTTCTAATCGTTTCTTTGTTCCTCGCTAGCTGTATACCTTTGGACAGTTTATTTCATCTCTCAGTCTCAGTTTCCTTATCTGGAAAATGGGAACAGTAACGTTCCCTGTAAGGGGTATTAAGAAAACGTGAGAAAACATAGGTAAACTACTTAGGGCAATGTACAAAGTAAGCCTTAGTAAATGGTAGCCTTTGATTTGTGGAGCCTTTTTATGGTAAGTAAAGAAACAGGCCTAGAGAGTTGTAACAACTCGCTCAACATCATTTGGGGGTCAGTTAGGAATTGGAGTAGAACCTCAGATTAGAACCAGCATGAACAAAGGCATAGAGGTTGGTAATATCATATCACATTGGTCTGGAACAGAGAAGGCAAGGGAAGGTTTGGGCAGAGAACGGTGGGGCAGGACCAGGCCTTGAAAGCAGGAGAGCAGCTTGAGCTTGATGCAGGAAAGAGGGAAATGTGATCTCAAATTCCTGGGCAGAGAGATGTTTTTTGCAAGCATATTCTGAGACTTCACTGCAAAGAGATGAATGATATAATTAATACAATAGACTTTGACTCAGAAATAGGAATACAGTCATTCAGCCACAAAACCCAGTGGAGAAAGACCTCCTAAAAGGCACCCAAGGCGTTTCGGCATTCTTAACCCGTAGTCAAGGAAACAAGAAGACTAAAAAAGATATCGCCACAGAAACACTGTTTTGAAAATATCTGTAGAGGAAAGAGGAAAACCAACTACGTCTTTTGTGCCCATGTTCCCATGGTAGCACGTGTCTGTACAGAATGCTTGGTAAGGCATGGGTGTAATCATGCGTATGTGTATGTCTGTGTGGGCATGTGTGTGCGTGCACACATTGTGTATGTCAGAGGCAAGTGTGGGAACTAGGTGTGGAGGACACATAGCCCTGGCTCATGTGGCCCTGCAGTTAGGGGAGAGCGTATCAGCACAAGGTCTCCCTGTAATGTCGACAGGTAGATAAGGAATTCCCAGGAGCTTTTTGAGTGTTTTAACTCTTGTGCCAAATGAACTGTGGAGTAGCATCTCAGAGGTCACTTTGGGTCAATATAGAAAGTTATCAATCAGCTGGAACCTGGAACCTTGAATACATGCAAATGAGAAGACATTCCAGGTGGGAGAAGGCAGTGTGATGTCATGGGAAGAACTGAGGCAGTGCAGGGGGGTTGGGGGATGCGGCATGGGGAGGCGGTCAGATGTATTTGCTTTGGAATCCAGGCTTGTACTAACTCACTGAAGAGCCTTTGGCAATTTGTCTCATCAATACATTAGTGTCTAAGAGTCATCAGTGAAAGAGAATAATAAAGTATACATTTAGTGGTATTGTAAACGTCAAAGGAGGTATCATAAATACAAGCACTGAGCATATAGGAGGCACAGAACACATTTATTTTCCTTCCTTCTTTTTTATTTTATTTTTTTGAGATGGGGTCTTGCTCTGCTGCCTAAGCTGGAGGGCAGTGGAGTGATCTTGGCTCCACTGCAGCCTCAACCTTCCAGGCTCAAGCGATCCTCCCACCTCAGCCTCCTGAGTAGCTGGGACTAGAGGTGCACAACACCACACCAAGCTAATTTTTTTTTTTTTTTTTAGAAGGACTTTCACTCTTGTCACCCAGGCTGGGGTGCAATGGTGCTATCTCGGCTCACTGTAACCTCCACCTCCTGGGTTCAAGCGAGTCTCTTGCCTCAGGCTCCTGAGTAGCTGGGATTACAGGCACATGCCACCATGCTCGGCTTCCTTTTTTTTTTTTAAGTGGAGATGGGGTTTCACTATGTTGGTCAGGCTGGTCTCAAACTCCTGACCTCAGGTGACCCACCCACCTTGGCCTCCAAAGTGCTGGGATTATAGGCATGAGTCACCATGCCTGGCCAACTTAATTTTTTGAATTTTTGTAGAGACAGGGTCTCCCTATGTTGCCCAGGCTGGTCTCAAACTCCTGGGCTCAAGGAATCCCGCCTTGGCCTCCCAAAGTGCTGGGATTACAGGCATGAGCCACCATGCCTGGACTTTCTTTGCCCTCCTAAATAAGGGATTCTCGAAACTTAGACTACTTAAGAATCACCTAGGAGATGCAGATCTCACCTCATCCCCAAGAATCTGATTCAAAAGCCTGCAAGTATGGCCCAGGAATCTGCATATGAACTAGGGCCACAGGTGATCTGATGAGGTGATCTAATAACCACACATTATGAAACACTAGAAGAGTGAGAACTGGAGAAAAAATAGAAGCCAAAGGATAAAATGTGAAATGCTTCCCAGACGTCCTTTTTTGCCTGTTTTATGATCCACATGGATGAGGAGGCATTGTTAGGGGCAGCCAGGTCACTTTCCAGAGATGTCAGTCACAGCGGATCAGGCCAATAAACCACATTTATAGCAAAAGCCTTGTTTTGAAGTTGAATCAGTGTAATTTCCTTGTATGAAGCCAGGCTAGGAAACTGGAGCCCTAGAAGCTACTTTTTGCTGATATCTAATATCATTCATTTATTGCTTCGTTCATTTGTTTCTTCGTTGGTTTATTATTCATTCACAGGTTTGGGTGCCTGCTGCGTGTGAAGCTTAAGTAGAGGCTTGCGTGCCTGTCACATGAGGTTTACAGTTCATGTTCTCTGCCCTCAAAAACCAAAGATGTGAAAATAAGACATTTTAAATCCCTGCAAAGGACAGTAGTACAGTACTTTCATCACGAAAGCACAAACTTAGGAGTAGAGATAACAAGGTCTACAGCTGTAAGAATTCAGGACATGCGGGTCCAAAGAGGCTTATTTGAGCTTTTGGGAACCGAGCTGGGACTTGAAAAGGGAGTTTGATTTAAACAGAGTAGAGGGGACAACATTCCAGTTTTCTCCTTTGGTTGAATACTTCTTTTTCTGTATGGTTTTGTGAATTGTTATATATGCTTTAGTTATTTTTGTTAGAACCGGTACCTCTGCATTTTATTGTTAATTATAATATGCTCTGTTTCCTGAGAAAGCTGGGCATTTCTGTTTCTTCCTTTCTAGACAATATTTTGGTAATTTCACATGCATATTTTCCCAAATATCTTTCAAAACAAAATTTTGATGTTCTAAAAAAAATGCATTAACATATATAAAACATATGATTTGGCCAATTAATTAGGGAAGAATTTAAGTTGCTGCAATAGACTTCCTGTTTAAAAATGTTATTTTAAACTCCTGTTGGTTGAGCTTAGGTGCAGGCCTGCACCTGGATAAGCTCCGGAGGCTGCAAAGCCGTGTGAGGCTGGGATTTTTCGCAGGAAAGACTAGCACTGGTTATCCTGCGTTGGTAACCCAGGGGAATATTATCACCACAAACCCAGGTCAGTTTTGTTCACCTTCTGCCCCACAATGGCAACTCTAATTAAGAAGGTTAAACTACTGACTGTTCCCAGGTAACAGGATGATAAAGTCAATGTTTTTCCCAGCTGGATTCCCAAATCTGGTAAAAAGGAAAGGAGAACTAGGTTCAGCCTGCTGTGTCCTGATGCTCCCGGCTCTGCAGGGCTCTCTAAATAGCTCCCACCAATTAACGGGGGAATCTATGGGCACACGTTAAAGAGAAGCACTCACATGTACTAAGCTCCTGTTCTGGGCTGGGTGTTTCACGTATGTCAACCCTTATACTTCACACGTGCTCTATTTTTAAGTGTATTCGCTACCAGCTTTATCTTTTTCTTTTTACAACAATCCCACAGCTAATAAATATTATTAAATGAAGGCTTAAAGGTTAATGAAATTACACCTTGACACAGAGCAGTCACTGGTCTATTTGACTCCAACATCTGTGCCTTTCCTCATCTACACACTCTCCAGCCCCGACGCCAAGCCCAAGGAGCTGTGAATACAGACACCTACTGTTGCCACACAAACATACCTATGGACTGCTGAAAACACAGAGAGAGCTGGATTTTCATTAAGGAAATAATGACTGTGATTTTCCTGGGAAAAATAGTGTCTGTAGTATCTTGCAGTGTAGCAATCTCAGGGGTGTGCTGGAGCCGACTTGTATTGGCTTGCAAGAGCCAATTGTTAGGTTTTACAACCAGCTGAGAATTCCTGAAAATCTATCATTAGAAGTTAAATTATATAAATGTATGTAAACTATATAAACTATATAAATTATATAAATAAAATTATGTTAAAAATAAATGTCATAAATATTCACAAGTTATTTCCTAATCATTTTACTGCCCTTGATTATTGCCTCTTCTCTTGAGGTAGAAATACTATATAATGGTGCTATACACTGTACACATCTCTTCCCAATTGATATTCAGTTAAGTTTTGTTGGTAGCTTGACATCAGCCATGGGAGTTGTAGCTACACGACGGAAATTGGTCAATATTACGAATCAGGCTGTTGTTTTTCAGGGAGCGTGGGTTCAACGTTTATCAGCACACCATGGAGAGTATGCAGACACGAGCCGTAAATTCCCTTTGTAAGGGAATAAACAGTCCACAAGGGCTGATGAATAGCTTCTGTAAGCCCAAGAGTGCTAGCCTCTCCTTTGAGACTTGGCCGAGAGAACCGAAGTCAGGAAAACGGACTGCTAAGGTGAGAAGTAAAGACTGTTCTTCAGAAGGACACTAGGTCATTCACAAAATCCTGGCATGCAAACTCTTGTGTGAACTTCACAGTGATCCTGGAAGGTAGTGCCTTTGCCCTCCAGGAAAACCAAGACTAATTTCTTGTGCTAACAGTGCCCAGCTGGGAGAAGCCCTGGTGTGTAGCTAATACTTTTTCCAAATACTTCAGCTTCCTGGGCCTCAGTGCAAATGGTCAAGCAGTGGTGGCCCTGGCTGTTGAGGTGTGTGAACACCATTCACAGCAGTTGGTGGCATGTGGTGTCTGGCAGGCTTTCTTTAACTCACTCCATGTTACTCCTCATCCTGGGCACTGCCAGCCCACTGCACCAATGAGTGTATAGTGCGTTATCCTGGGTGACTGTCACCAAAGGTCAGATTTATGTCCATGGGAATAATTGCCTGGAAATGAGTAAGATGGAGTAATTGGGATGAGGGTCAGAAATGAAATTCATAGCCTCAAATGTAAAATCATGTCTATTCCAGTGAAGGAATTTCTACCCCAAGAGAGGGGCCACAAAGCGAACTTGAGATTTTAAGGTAACTGTGATATTTTAGGGATCCTTAAGACTTAGTGAGTTGGTACTTACGACGACAGGAATATAGTTAAGGATGTCTTTGGATTTTATTTTTCTTCAACTGTTTGCATGAAAAAATTAAAAAACAGGCTGAGCACTGTGGCTCATGCCTGTAATCTCAGCACTTTGGGAGGGTTGCAGACCAGCTCGGGCAACATGGTGAGAGCCTGTCTCTACCCAAAAAAAAAAAAGGTAGAAATCAGCCAGGCATGGTGGCATGCACATGTGGTCCCAGCTACTCAGGAGGCTGAGGCAGGAGGATTGCTTGAGTTGGGGAGGTTGAGGCTGTAGTAAGCTGTGTTCATGCTAATGCATTCCAGACTTGGCAACAGAGTGAGTCACTGTCTCAAGAACAAAACCAAAAATGTTAAACAATTTTTGTCACTGTAAAAATTTTAAACAACATTGAAGAGTATAAAGCTAAAAAAGGGAGTTGCTTCTTTATCTCTACTTTCCAGGGATAGTCACATTATGGTGAGTAACCTTCCAAAACGTCACACACACACACACACACACCCCCTATATGATTTGAAAATTTTAAAACAAAAAATTGGAACATACTACCTATATCAATAGCTTTGTGACTTGCTGTTAGTTCACATGTATCTTGGAGAAGATCTAGCCCATGCTCAAATGCACAGTAGAGAATTCCATTGTGCAGATGTATCATAATGTATTTTAAAAGTTCCCTTGTGGACACTGAAGTTTTCTTCAATTGTTTACACTTAATATAGCAAATAGATGTCCTTGTAAATATGCTCTTGTTTTCTTGTATAGTTATTTCTGTAGCATAGACACCAAGGAGTAAAATTGTAAAGTAAAAACATATACACGTGTACAATTTTGATAACTTTTGTCAAATTGCCCTTCTAAAAGGTTGTACCTATTCTCTCACATTAAAGTACCTGCTTTCCCCCTTACCCTTACCAACATTGTATATAAACAATCTTTTCAGTTTTTACCCAACTATAGGGGAACATTTGTATTTTGTTCATCCTTTGCAATTACTTGACAGTATTTATTCTGTATTTCTTCTGTGAATTGCCTGTTTAGCCCCTTTGCTATTTTCCTTATTAACTTGATAACTTTGTTACTGATTTGTATGAGCTCTTTATATAAAACTTTTAATATCTTTATATATTAGGAATATTAATACTTTGTTATCTTACAAATATTTTCTCCCATTCTTCCCTTTATCTTTTAACTTTATTAAAGTTACATTTTTTGCTATGTCAACACTTTACATTCTTTTGTAGATAAACCTGCTGTTCTGTTCCTTCACAGCTTCTGGGTTTGGGGTCTTGTTTGGGATATTTTTAAATGCTGGTAAGGTAGCTGGAAACCCTTGAGAAAAAGAAGCCTTAAAAGTTTGAAGAATTAATGTCATAAAAAGGTACCCAGCATTTATTAATACTGCACTAGATATTCTATTATGTGTGAAGCAAAACAGAAAAATAATTCTCCAGTAAGATTAATAAATGCTTTTTGCAGATCAGGGAAGAAAATGCAGTGGGGAAGGCTGCACGGAGCCTTCTGTGCACTGCAAACACGCAGGGGAGTGGGGCGAGGGGCCAGCGGAAAACTGAAAGGGGGCCTTGACATGTGTATTTCATCATTTGCTCTAGAAGCAAAATTTAGCACTGGCTGATTCTGCCTTTATTTTTCCAAGAAAAAAGACACAAAAGAGAATTAGAAATCTGTTAAGTCCTCTGTGTTACATCCAAGTTCAGGCTTATCCCAGCCTTTTCTTTCCGATACCCATTTTGGATAATGTGCATAAAATTCCTATGAAGGGAACAAAATGTGAAGACCTGGTTGATATTTAAGTTCTTTAAATGGAGTCAAACTATCCTGTTAATTTGGAAAGATTCATTATTGGTTCTGTAAGCATTATTTTACCTTTACTTAAAATTTTAAAATCCTAATTCTCCTTTCCCCTGAGATAGTTTGTTCTTTATACTTTAAAATGCCATCCATGACTAAAGGAAAGTCCAAACAAGTTTTATAATCTCATCTCTCAATCAGATCACTCAAATTTAATTACTCAGAATACCTTGTTTTGAAAAGGACTTCCAGCACTTTTCCAGTACTTAAAATATCTCATTAAAGAACAAAAGAAAAGAAAAAAAGACTTCCATTTTCAGCATGTTAGGATTCCATCTGTAAGAATTAAAGAGTAGGGCAAGACATGCTCAGATAAAATGGGAAAATCAGTTACTATGGAGAGTATGGAGTAGAAGAGAGAAAGGAACATGGCAGGCATGCTGCACAGTACGGTACAGGCTAAGGAGGTAAGAAACGGCACTGCTGACCTCAGGAGTCTGGGTGCCATTGGCTAGGCAGTACATAATAACGAAAGTGAATTTGTCATTTTAATAGCCAGGAATAAATATGACCTCATGGGCATTCATGGGACTTGATGTGGAGACTTAATGGCAGAATAAAGGAAGGGAAGAATAGACTCTGTCTAAGAGAAACAGACTATTAGGAAGATAAATATGTGAGCAGAAATTCATAAACCAAGGATGATGCCCTGCTGGAGAATAACAGGTGCAGGGAAGAGATGGGAGGGCTGGAAGCAGCACAGAAGCAGGCAAAGCCCTAACTCACCTGACTTTTTGGGAGACTTCCACTGTTTGGCCATTACTCAAGCCTCCTTCAGCCCAAGGACATAGGTGGAGGTCACTGATGCCATGCCAAGGAGTTGTGTCTTTATTGAATAGGCAGCCACCTACAGTTTTTGAGGAGGAGGCAAAGTGTTGGGGCTGTAATTTAAGAAGACTAATTATACTAGGGTGAAGATTACTCTCTGAGGGCAGCAGCAGAGGAGCTCCTAGAAGCATTTGCAGGGCACGTATTATATCCCAGGAAGGCTACCTGGCAAGCCCTGGAACAAGTATAGAGACAGGAAGTGTTGCAAAAGCGACACACAAACCAGGGAAGGATAGGATGGCCATGAAGGAGCATTTATTTGTGCTGCGGGGTTGGAGGGGGAGCTTCTGAGAGGGTGATATCGGCACTAGGCCTTGGAGAAAGAGTAAGAAGTTACAGCCATGGGGGGTGTGAAGGCCTGGGCAGCCCAGGCGGCAGCATGAGGAAGGAAAGAAACACAAGCATGCGCGGCAGGTTCCGGAAAGACTGAGCAGCCAGCGCTGGGCTTGGAGCGTGGCTGGTTGGAGAGGGGCTGCCCGACTGTGAAGGTTGTGTCACTCCTTCAAGCAGCCATGGGGAGCCCTTACACAATTTTAAGCAAGGCTGAGATGGATACTACTCAGGTGCATCTGGAAAGACCAGTTCCAGCTGCAGTACGGAGAAGGGACAGGGTGTGAGAAGGTGAATTCAGGTCAGTAGGAGACCACTGCCTGTGGATGAGGGGAGTGGTAAGGTCCTGAACTATGGAAGGCGGGGCAGTGGGAATGGAAAAGAGGACTCAGAGGGACCCATTGGTGACCTAAGACACCATTAACTGGAAAGCAGAACTATACGAGGGGAAACGTAGGAGGTAGAGATGACCCTGGTTTGAAACATACCAAGAGTGCCAGTTAGCTATTGCAGTACAATAAAGGACCCCAAACAGAGCAGCAAACACCACCACTTTGTTATGCAGTAGGTATGACTTGTCCCTCCTCCTTAATCTGGGGCCTTAGCTAAAAAGACTGGGCTCAAGTGGCTGGGTCTGAAGAAGAGCTGGAGCTGCAAGGGCCACTTCCAAGATGACTTTTCCACTCATGTGCCTGGCACCCTGGGGAAGAGTGCAGGCTGGACTCTGCCAAGACTGCTGGTTGGCATGACCTCACAGCACAGCAGCCCCAGAGTAGTCAAACTTCTTACATGGTGGACTTTTATGACCTCTTCTTAGAAGTCTCCTGTCATCACTCCTGCCTTGCTCTGTTGGTCTAAGCAGTCACAAGCTTGCCCAGATTCGCAGAGGGGACACAGACTCCACCTCTCAATAGGAGGAGCTTCAAAAAGCCTGAGGCCGTGTTTTACAACCACCACGATGAGTGACATAATAAAAACAAGGGGACAAATACGGCTACAGGTACACTCTGCAGATGCCAGCAACCGACTGAAGATGAGGCTAAGGAGGAAGGAAGCCTTATGATAAATATGAACACTGACATTTCCTGCGTCATAATATCATTGCTGGTGATGAAGAGGGTGGGCATGGAATCTGACGACCTGGCTTGAAGATCGGCTCCACTGCATAGTTACAGTTTGACCACAGGCAAGTTTCTTAATCTCTCTGCTCCACCCCACATTCTTTATCTGCTGTCCCATTTTAATGATTATAATAATAGTGACCTACTTTAAAAGGTTGCTGAGAATGCTAGCTAAAACATACACAGTTCATAGAATAGTTCCATGAACGTTAGCAGCTATTGTTGTCAGAGCACCACCACATGTACTATCTCATTTATTCCTTCCTAGGACATCTGATGTAGCTGTTCACATTATCATTTAACAGATAAAGGACCCAGACCCGGAGGGGTTAGGTAGCATTCTCAAGGTCACACAGCCAGCAAGTGACAGAGCCGTGACTTCGGAAACCTGCTTTCCTGCTTCCATAGACTCAGTTCTTCCCACAGCTGCGCAGCTGCTCCCCAAACAGGAGCATGCCTGGAACCACTCCTGTGCCCACCCACATTGTGGGATTAGCTTCCTGGCCAACCCACTGTGTTTCTGGCACTGAAGCTGTCCTCCCAGGAGATGCCGCCTGGGCTGCCCTTGCCTTCGCCCACCACTGGCATGTCTGAAATTTACTAGAAGCAAGATGTGGAGAACTGCAACAGCAGGTGTGATGCCTGCAGGCACCCAGCCTCCCTGCTGGAAAACTCCAGACAGCTGCCTTTGGTGTGGAGTGGGGGTGGGGTATAGCCCTTTCCCCAGGGCCACTCAGAACTGAGGACCAAACTCATCAATGCATGGCCATTCCCTTGGGACCGCACCAGAACAGAAGCCAGGCCTAGATGTGCCTGCCCAAGATGACTGTGGGTGAATGTGGAATAAGGATGGGCCTGCCTTCCCCCTAAAGACCCAATAGGAGCCAGCACCCTGGTGAAGGGTGTCAGCCCCAGTGGTGGCACCTGCAGGGTACACCCTCTTGCTTCCTGGGGTCTCCTCTATGACTGAGCTCTGCACTTCACCTCCCTCTCTCAACCCTCCCCATCTTCCCATGTGGGGGGTTCAAAAATCAAGCAAGGAAATAGAGCAGTGACATGTTTCCTCTTTCTTCTTAAACAGCCTAAAAACATGGACACATCTGTGAGAAAATTAATCTATCAACCCATCGGGCCCTGCAACTGCCTGGAAAGGAATAACAGTGTCTGTAGCTTTCTGTTAAAGGTCACCCTCTAGGCCCTGAGGAATTTTTCCTGAATTACAAAGAAGGAACAGATCAAATGCCTGTCATAACACACTTCAGAAAACAAGGAGCAACCAGAAGTTCCCATTCATCTAAGGAATCTTTGAAAATCCTGCCCTGGGTGGAGTGACATTTGCTAACAATAAAAACAGTTCACTTGGCAGGCGACCCTGGGTACGGCCAAAGTTGACGGGGGCAGACTACCCCTCCAGGGACTGTCTCACCTCTCAAGACTTCCAGGAAGTTCAGGAGAACGTCAGGAACTCTGCTATCCTGGCCTTGGTGGGTCACAGCCCACCCCTCCATTCAGGCTTCCTCTCCATGCATGTCACAAGGGAAGCAGGCCCCCGCAACAGAACTTTCTCCTAAAGATCAACAGGCTGCTTCAACTTTTCCCACAGTTCAAACTAACCAGTGTCAGCTTAGGAGTCACTAGGCAGAACTACTCAGATTTGTGTGTTTGAAGTTATTTCGGTTCTTGCCCAATTCAGACTCTTGAGAGAACTCTGGATGGCAAAACCAAAAAACATGTCAACTGTATGGCAAGTTCTGTATTTCCAAGTTTACTAGTCGTCTTTACATGTTTTTTTTTTTAGTACTAAAAATAATTGTAATACACCTTTGAGTGGATTTGCAAGGTACTTTTTATGAGTAACATTTTATAATTTCCACAACACTCTTGTAAAGGTGGCAGGGAGCTTTAACTTTTTTCCTGCTTCCTTCTCTGAAAATGTAATTTTGACTTTCTTTCTTTCTCTTGTCTTTTTCCTTTCTCTTTTTTTGAGACAGAGTCTTACTCTGCTGCCCAGGCTGGAGTGCAGTGGCATAATCTTGACTCACTGCAACCTCCACCTCCTGAGTTCAAGTGATTCTCCTGCCTCAGCCTCCCGAGAAGCCGAGATTACAAGCACAAGCCACCACAACTGGCTAATTTTTATATTTTTAGTAGAGATGGGGTTTCACCATGTTGGTCAGGCTGGTCTTCAACTGACCTCAGGTGATCCACCTGTCTCGCCCTCCCAAAGTGCTAGAATTACAGGTGTGAGCCACTACACCTGGCTGACTTCTTTTTCTTAATAGTTGGCAAGACCAAAATATAGGACTAAAGTAGTATGGAATTACTCTATGTTTTTGTACTGTGTGAATTCCCCAGCAATAATGTTAGAAGCAAGGTGAAGGAAGGAACATCTCACTTGGCTGTTCTGCAGTGGGGATGCCCTTCATGCCCCTCACTGAATTCTTTTAATAACTCTAGCAACTTTGGTGTGATTGGTGTGATGAAAAATGTCAGCATGGCATTGGTTTACAAACTACCTTGTGGCCTGGGAAATCATATATCAGAAAACAAATGCACTCAGTAGTCTTCTTCCTCCTTTCAAAACAGTGCTTTGCTGTAACCAACGAATTGGCCTGGTTATTTAAACAACCATTTTGATTTGCCAGTGAAAATTTTCATGGGCTCGTGAAGAGATAATGAAACTGTACATCTATCTGGTTGCTTTACAAATTCTAAAGCACTTTCAAATCAGTTTTCTTTCTTAATGTGATCCTTAAGATGACCCACAACCCAAGTAGAGTTGCTCTAATTGTTCTTGCTTCATGGACTAGAAAACTGATGTTCATGTAGATGAGATGAACTGCTCCAAGACCTGCCGTAGGGTTAGAAACCAGATTTTTCAGCGTTTGGTCTAAGCTGTCTCCCCAGTGATGTAAAGGATTTTTTTTTTAGCCTCCTAAGATTATTGTTAGATGGTATGAGTCAAAATGTCTGTAAGTCCAGGTTCATTTCACATCAGGCAGACACACATACACACCAAATACACACACACCCCCACACACAAATTCCTGACACATTTTGCCTTTCGCAGTGTTTTGGTAACTGAGGAGTTAAGTGCTTGTCATGAGAGGAAAATTGTCCTGTGACCCAGTGTGATGGCTGCAGGCTCCTGTGGCCTGGTATGCTTTGTGCATACGATGCATGCAGTACCAATTCAAGCGTGAGGTCCCCAAGACCACCCTCATGTTTGATAATTTGCTAGAAGGACCCCAGAACTCACTCCCTCACTCCAGAGCTCTTGTATACATTATTATGGTTTATTACAGTAAAAGAATCAGATTAAAAATCAGCAAATAAAAGAGGCATATAGGGCAGGGTCCGAGAGAATTCCAAGCATGAGCTTCCAGTTGTACTCTCCCAGCAGAATTGTGGACAGTGCTGACTTCTGTCAACAACAATGTGTGATGATACATGGCATGGAGTAATGCCAATCAGGGAAACTACCTGAGCCTTGGTGTCCAGAGTTTTTATTGGACTTTGTCATATAAGACATGGTTGACAGCTGTGTGGCTGACTTCAGTCTCCAGTCCCTCTGGAGGTCAAGCAGATGCCATGTGGCCCAAGACCCCTCACCATAAATCACACTGACTATCTGGCATGGCTCAATGCCCCCAAGTAAACAAAGACACTCTTCTCACGCAGGACATTCCAAGGTCTTAGAAGTTACCTCACAGGATCCAAGAGCAAAGGCCAGACCTCTCTTTGGGCCAGATTAATCCTTTATTGCATAGGCATGCACTAGGGTTATGGAAATCTCATATTGAAACCCAATGGAGGAGACTGCAAGCAGACATCTGACAGGGCTTTTCCTTTTGTCCTTCTAGCTCAGTGTTATTTTCTAGTGCATATAAGAATTACTGTACACAAAGCCATGTATACCAGACATCATAGGCTATCTAATGGCTTTCAAAGAAATTTTAACTTTATTGACTGATGTTTAAAAGTACCTTCCCACTATCCACAACTCCTACCACAACAAAATACATAAGCTGCTGATGAAACTACTGTAAAGAAACAAAAGCAAAAGCAAACAAATGAAATTGTTTTTACAGAAGAACCAAATGTGGAAATTCAATTTCTGTTAGTGCTACAATTAATATTCTAGTCATGAAAATTGTGTTAGGTCATAAGTTTCTTCAACTCTTTTTGCTTATGATTGTGAAACAAAGAGCTAGAACTCTGGGGACCATTTTTTGGGGGATGTCTCCTAGTGTAAGGTTGACTAGATAATGAGGAAATTATGTGACCTATAAGGTTACTTAAGATTAAAACTAATGTTTTCTCAATCTACAGACTTCAAAAAGTTTACAGAGTAATTTGAAGAAATTTTTGTAATAAAGAAAATATTGCAAGTAAGTAAAAAGTAACATATTTTCTCTATCTCTTGAAATCCATCTTTGGCTTTGTGGCCATAGAATAGCACCGGACTCTGCCTTCCTGGCTGAAATATTATAGAGCATCCTGATATATTTTACTGACCAAAAGCATTTTCTCCATAAATCTTAAGTTGGCAATGAAGTTCTGTGGTGGAAAGGGTTTTTCTTCTCCTTTTTTACATTTGATTTATAGCATACCCTTTCCTAGGGCCATGTTCCTTAGAGAATAGCAATTCTGACTAATGGTTTCATGCTGCCTGTCCTCCCTACATCATGAATACAAATACCCAATTACCAATAAATATATATATTTTTGTATGATACAGTAATAAACCTTGCAAATTTGCTTTTTCAAAAAAAATCCTGTTTCACAATAGATCAAACCAATAGTTTCCAGATTTTGGAATTTCACAGACCAGGAAAATTACCAATTTTTTTTGGAGGTTGGGGGAACTGACATAGGGTTGTCAGATATATATATTTTGCCAAATGAAGAAACTATAAGGGAAAAAGTCCCCTAGAATCTATTATCAGAATAATTTCATGAAAGAACATCCTCATAGTTAATATATAGGTTAATCAGTGTGATTTACTGATTTATTTGCCTTGCTTTTCTGCTTACATCCTAACTTTTTCTGTCTAGATTTAATATAAATGTTTTAAATGACATCTTTTAATATTTCAGTGAAGATCTGTGAGTAACTAACTCGATTAGTCATGGAAATGATGAAGCACAGTGATTAATCAAACCATGGAGTCTAGTTTAGAATGCCTGGGCTTAAATCCCAATTTGGCTATTTACTAGCTGGGTGACCTTGGGTAAGTTACCTTAACCTCCCTGTATCTTAGTTTCATCATCTCTAAGATGGTTATATTAACACTATCTACTTCAGAGGTTTTGGAGATTACTGAGTTAAAATATTTATATAGCACTGAGAATAGTACCTTGTACAGTTATATAAGTATTATCTAAGTGCTTGCAATTACTATTAATCTGTGTATGTCAGACGATGTCCATATTTTACCCTCATTCTTATAGTTTATTTTAGCATGGAGTTCTGTGTTGACCATTATTACTTTCAGTATTTTTGAGATATTACTCCATTGCTGCCTTGCATCCATTGTTGTGGATGAGAAGTCTGCTGACATTATGGTTGTCTTTCCTTTATAGGTAAGAGCTCTTTTATCTCTGATTTGTTTTTAAGGTTTTTCTCTTTAGATGTGATATTCTGTGGTTTCACTATTATGCGTCTATGTCTGGATTTCATTTTTCTAGTTCAAAATTGATTTTTCCCCTTCAGATTGAAAACTCACATCTTTCTTTAATCCTAGAAAATGCTCAATCATTGTATAAGTTAGGAGTAGAATTTGCTACAAGCGATTAAAGAAAACAACAATCCTAAATCAGAGTAGTTTATACAAGATAGAAGTTTATTTCTTTCTCATACAGATTAGGCCATCCAGGTGTGTTTGATGATGTCAGGGGCTCAAGGATCCTTGCATTTTATTGCTTCTCCATTTTAAGCAAGATGGCTAAAACCTTAAACTATCACAGCTGAATTCCAGCTACTAGAAAGAAAATAGTGCCTACATCCTCCCTTCAAGGACATTTTTAGAAGTTGCACATGCTGCTCTGGTTATATCCCAGAACATAGTAATATAGTCAACCCAGCTACAAGGGAAGCTGGGAAATACTGTCTTTATTCTGGTCAGCCAAATTTCCAGCTAAAAATGGGTGATTTTATTAGTAAGACAGAGGTAATGACTGGCTATTGGGAAACAAGTAGTAGTCTCTATCATAGCCATTTTCGTTTCAAATTTTTTCTCATGTTCCTTGTATAATATCCTTCTGGAACTCTTAATAACATTCTATTCTCTGTCTTCCTATTAATATTTTAAAAATCTTTTTGTGTTGCATTTTGTGAGATTTCTTCAGTCCTATCTTCCAATTTACTGATTTTCTCTTAAGCTATGTTTAATCTACTGAATTAAGTTTTTTAAAAATTAGACATTTTAAACTGTAGAATCTCTATAGCTTCCCTCCCAAATGTGCCTATTTTTATGGTGTTCTGGTCTTTCTGTATACTTTTTGTTTAATTTATAAAGAAATGAGGTTTAATTGGCTCATGGTTCTGCAGGCTGTTCAGGAAGCACAGCACTGGCATCTGCTTGGCTTTAGTGAGGCCTCAGGAAGTTTACAATTATGGCAGAAGGCAAAGGCAAAGGCAGAGCCAGCATATCACATGGTGAGAGCAGAAGCAAGAGGTTTCTGTATACTTTGTATTCTCTTATGTCTTGAGTCATTTTAAGTATACTTACTTTATATAGTCTATCTGTTCTATTGTCTGTAATTCTTGGCATATGAGTTCTGCTAACTCCTTTCCTGGGAAGTTTTTGTTCTTTCCTCTTGTGTTTTTGTTTTTAACCATCTCATCTTGGGATTTTTTTCCACATTGTCTCGTGTGTGCAGGCTTATTAATTGTCACTATGGGGCAATTTCTTGTTTGTTTTTAACAGGGTTCTTCAAGTTTCCTGGTTCAAACCAGTATTTCTGTTGCTTTCTTGGTTTGCATTTCCTTCTCATGAATACACACTGGACCCCACTCCTGTGCATAGCTCAGTTTGGTAGGTGTGTCATCTAGGTGGTAATGAATCTACTACCTCCCCTAATTCCCAGGCTAATGGGAGGAGATAACCCAGAATTATTTTCACAGCAGCAAAGCTCTTCTAGGATCCTGGCTCTTTGCACAGCTCCAACTCCACTGCACCTGGGGCTTCCATTCCCATTCCAGCTCAGGCATTAAAATCTCAGCCCACAAGTTCATCCTCTGATTCCAACTCTGCAATTGCTTATTTAGTCTCACCTCTTGCTCATTGCTTGTTTGTGTTCTCTCCATTTCTGGCACCTGAGGATTTTAATTTCTTGTTTTAGTGCTTAGTTGTATATTTCAAATGTTCCTGTTATATTTTATCCTACATTTATCTGTGTTCGGGATGATGGGTGCTTCCAACATCAACGTAGTCCGTTAAGGCAGTAAGGAGTCTAACAAAGAGTATTTTAAATCCCAAAATGCAGTAAAGTTGCAGTCTCTTCAATAAAAGAATTGAAGTTATTTGTCTTGATACTTCTTTATTCTATCCTTGTTTTTTCATTTGTTATGGGCCAGCATTGCCCTGTTGGTTAACATCTGGGAATTAATGGACCGGTTATTGAGAAACTCTGGATCTGGTCCTAGTTGCTTGCTAACTGCAGACTTGGGGAAATCATTTATGTTCTCTGTAAATAGCTGTGAAATGCAATTATTATTTGCCCTGCTTCATAGGATTATTATAAGAGTCACATAAGATAATAGATTTTAAAATGCTTCAGTACTTAACATATACAAATTTATGCTATTAATAGCAATGTTAGAAACCATTAGCACCTTCATTAAAGTATTTTTGACTTTAATAATAAATGATGGTTTTTGTTTTTGTTTGGTTTTCTTTTTTATTTTTTGTAATTTGAAAAATGATCTTGTATCCTGGTAAAGGCTATCATTCTTTGGAAATAATAAGGGAACTACTTGGAAACATTCAAATATTCTTGTGAAATTTAAGAGCACTACTTGTACTGACAGGCAGTTATGACTTTAATAGACTATGGAATTCATTTTGGAGAGACACACCCTTTGCATTTAAAAAAATAGAGACTTAAACCTGGAAATCATCATTGCATTTTATTACAGATTTCCCACACAATGGATACTGAAAGTTCAATGACTTTCAGTCATTGTGAGGAACCATAAACTTTTTATCTTAATGCAGAAAAGATGCCCTCATGTTTGAAAAGATTGAGAACCAACCTAGCCTGTGGTAGGAACCACTCACTGGGCTTATGACCCCAGACCATTCTCCTCTAAATTATGTGGGACACAAGGACTGTGTCAATCCTCAGTGACATTTGTCAGTCAACCATGAGGTCTGTTGCAGAGAATGTGTTATTTCCTAATGGTTAAAGTACTAAGTTTGCAAATGATTTAGAAAATTAGAGATTGACTCAAGATGGTGGACTGATCACACACAGCCACTCCCTGTTGCCCTCTAAAGTCCATAAAATGTAGATAAATATAGATAATGAAATCCATTTTAATAGAGTTAGAAAGCAGGGAAACTTATGATCAGAAAAAAAAATTTTTAAATAAATTTTGAAAGATATTACTAAAGAACTCACGTTTAGAAGAACAAAACTAAAGGAAACAAAAGCCTAACCTGTGTAGAGATGACCTGATAGTAGGTCTGATAGGACTACAAGCCTAGAGTCAATGAATATGAAGAGGTAGAAGAAGCCTTGGGCCATTTATCAACTTGAAAAGTTAGGGAACTGCATGTGGAGCAGCAAACCAGTCATTCCCTTTCTGTTTCCCTGCTATGTTAAGCCAGGGTAACTGTGGCATGAATCAAATCATACACTGGGGCTGGAGAAGCAGGGTAATGCCCAAGTAGCTACCGACCCCCAGGAAGACCAAAGAGCTCATCAGACAAATCATGTTCAGCTCCTGTCTACATCCCAAACTTGTCCCAAAGTCAGGCTATAGTCAACAGAAACTGATAATAACCTGGAAACCATATAATCCAAGAAGAGTAGACAATTAAGAGACGTGAAGCATTTGGGAAAAAGTACAATACCCAGAGTGCGAGGTTCACACTCAACAAACAAAAGTTAATAGAATTGAGAGAGCAAACAAAACATTTTAAGCATAACTACAATATCCTAGGAGAGATGATCATATCCATAATAGAGCAAGAGTCTTATGTACTGAGGAAACATGTATAGATTGGATATTAAATATATACTAAGTTTAATAGATGGTCAAATATTAAGTTTCAATAAATGGACTGGCATACCAATAGACAAGGCTGAAAAGCAAATTAGTAGAAAGTGTCACGGAATTCTTGCATTACTTAGTGGCGAAGTACCATGAGAAAGATAATGAGAGCCATGCACAGTGGCTCATGCCTGTAATCCCAGCACTGTGGGAGGCTGAGGTAGGCAGATAAATTGAGCTCAGGAGTTTGAGAACAGCCTGGCCAACATGGCAAAACCCTGCCTATACTAAAAATACAAAAATTAGCCAGGTGTGTTGGTGCACACCTGTAATCCCAGCACTCAGAAGGCTGAGGTTGGAGGATTGCTTGAACCTGGGAGGTGGAGATTGCAGTGAGCCGAGATCAAGGCACTGCACTCCAGCCTGGCTCTGGAGAGACTGCCTCAAAACAAAAAACCACACATACACACACAGACAGATAATGAGAGACATAGACGATAGATCCAAGTGTTCAAACATTTAGCTAATAGCTGTTCCAGAAAGAGGGAAGAGAAAGAATGGAAGGGATGGAAATAACAGAAAAGGCAACATAATAAAATTTTCTAAGGTGGAAAAAAACCAAGGATCTTCAAATTGAAAGTGTTTTAATTCTTTTATCTCCAGTTTTGAAATTATATGTTTTAATTCTTTTATCTCCAGTTCTGAAATTATAGTCATTCTTTTGTACTGCAGACTCTTGCTCAGTTTGGTTTTCTTCTTGGTGTGATTTGTAATTTTTGTTTGTGACTATCTTTAACAGGGATTCCTTTTTTGTGTTGATCATGAAACTCTCTCCAGGGAGGGTTTGCATTTGCTTTTGTCAGGGACTTCAGTGGTATCACTAGAGGAATTTTTTGGTTTTGTGTCCTAAGAGAAGTCTTACATGTAAATTCATATTCCTAACTGGAGCATGGTACAAGCTTGGGGTTTTACTTTTTCACAAGGAGTTTATTCACTATCCATAGCTCCAGGCAGAGGCAAATTTTCTTGCTATCTTCCTGGTTATATGAGTGGAGTGGAGTCTGCCTTGTACTGACAGGCCAGCCATTTGAGAGTTCTAGCTTTATGCAGATTTCAATTCTATCTTTCTACTTTGGAGGACATAAGTTTCCATCCCTGTTCCAATGAGGATAAAAATTCAAGTCCCTAGGCTTTAAGACCTTTTTCCAAACATGCTAACAACCTCTCCCTTCCCTGTCTTCATACCAAAACTTGCATTCTAATTTTTCCAATTTTATAGTAGTATACCTATGGTGTTGAAGACTATGGAGCTATTAAAATAACAAGGTTGCCTACATATGTTGACAAGGAAAGATCTCCAAGATATACATTGGAGATATATATGTGGCAAGAACTAGAAGTCCCCAACACAAAAAAATATAATGACATTCATTATTTTGCAGTTTATCACAATTTCTTTAATGGAGAATAAATGGATAAAGATATAGCTGTAGTCTTATCAATACTGCAGATAATAGTGAGCAGCTGATATTTCCCAATGGAAATTTGTAAATACTCTTTATAACAGAGGAATACTCCACCTACTTCCACTTGTATGCAATATAACATATCTTATAATAGATACATTTTGGCACACCAAACACACCAAATTGGAAGTAGAATTAATCCTTACCAAACTCATCCAAAAAGCAAAGGTTGAGTTGGTGCTAGAAATGATCTGAGTAAAATAGAAAACAATTTAGAAAATACTTCAATATTCTAAGTACCCATATGTCTTTGAATTAAGTGTGTATGTGTCTGTGCATCTTGTACTGGCAGAAGTATTTTTAGATTTTCACACTTTTAATTATATATGGAGGAGTTCTAAGTTTTAGAATAATGAGGAAAAATTAAATATATAAGAGAACATTATCCTTAAATTGAAAATTGAATTATAGTAGCAGTGATGATATGATTACATTGACCACTTACTGATCAATGTGCATAATCACATCCTCAATAATCTTACGAAGTTGCTATTTTCCTAATTTTACAGTTGAGAAAACTGAAGTCTAGAGAGGTTAAGTTACTTACCCAAGGTCACACAGCTCAAGGAATGAAGTGAAGCCAACATTCCAACTCTAGTTTGTTTGATTCCAAAGCTGTCCACTCATGTCTAACAGGGCCTCTCTTCTAAAAGTATTATATTTGTTAATTACGATCATGTGTTGTGCAAAACAAAGTTGTGTTCATAAAGAATGTGACATAGAAATAATGTCTCACTCCACTTATTGGAGACCACTCTTATTAATAACATTTGGTTGTATTTTAATTGTCTTTTTTCTCTTTTTCCATTTACATAAATTGTATGTTCTGAAGTTACTGATAACAGAAAAGTAAATGTGAGGGCCAAGATGATGATTGTGAAATTTCCCTATATTCCAGGGATTAGATTTTTATCTGAAGAAGGTAATTTATTCTGATTTTTTAATTGGTGGATTTAAAGGCTTGTGCCTAGTGAAAAGAGCATCTCCTACAGTTGTTTGAGTGGCGCCTGAGGTCTTTTCTCTGCTCTCAGGAGTGCTGGGGCATGCCTTGGCTGCCTGTCTGACGTCTGTTTCTGATAAGTGAGTTTTAGGCTCTAACAGCTCCTGAGAATTTTGTTGGCAGAGACCTGGTGAGATCATTCTGCTTTCCGCTGAGTTTCCTTTCTCTGTTTTTTTGGACTGTTCTGATGAACGTGACCCTGGAGTGTTCAGTAATACCTCTGCTCCTTTAGGAACTGTTGGCCTACTGCCTGGTTTTATCTCTCTCTGTACAAAAGCTCCGTGTCTCTGGAAAAGAAAACAAAGTCGACATTAACCAGGAGAACGCAGATTGCTGGAAGATGCAGCTGTGAACTGAATTTGTGCGTTAGCTCAAGTCCTAGTCAGTGATGCAGGCACTTCTCTGCCTCTTCATTGGTGTCACCTCAGTCCCAAACTAGACACCACCATATATGGGTGAACCTTTTAAATTATAAAATAGGGTGCATCAGAAAATGAACAGGAAGGAAAAAGGCAGAATGTCAAAGAAGTAGCAGCTCATCTCCCATTCTCAACTTTTTTATCATTTGGACTGTTTAAGACTATTCACATCAAATTTCATTTCTTGCTCTAAAGATTGCTATGGATACAACAAAAACTACAGTTCATAGACCTAAGAATTTATGATTGCATCCCAAATGCCTATTAACGCTGATGAAAAGCTAAGTAATAATAAAATATGAAAGCAAACATCTATAGTTGGAAAAAAATCCAATAATTGACAATTACATTTCTATTTGGCTTTATAAACCTTACATGCATCTCCCTGCCACACACATGTATTAAGCATATCAAAACATTTGTCAAACTGCTTTGATATTATTACTATTATTATTATTATTATTATTATTATTGTTATTAGAAATGAGACTTGCTATGTTGCCCAGGCTGGCCTCAAACTCAAGTGATCCTCCTACCTCAGCTTCCAGAGTAGCTGGGACTACAGGCGTCAAGTCACTGTGCCCAGCATGCTTTGATATTATTTTACACAAATTATTTCAATAATTTAAGTAGACCAAATTCCAAAGACTGATTCAAATTATTATGTTTGGATTGATTGATTGAGATGAGGTTTCATTGTGTCACCCAGGCTGGAATGCAGTGGTGCAATTACGGCTCACTGCAGCCTCGAACTCCTGGGCTCAAGCAACTCTCCCACCTCACCCACCTGAGTAGCTGGGACTACAGGTGGCACCACCATACCAGGATAGTATTATTCCTTACATTTTACTATGGTATGTGGCTAACATTCTATCCTATTAATAACTGAAGTAGTTTGTTTAAATAGACAGAAAGATAATTATGACTTGAAAAAGCTTAAAGTTCTACAAATCTACTCTGTCTTAAAGTATTAAATAATTCTAAATACTGCCTCACCTTTCCCTGGAGAGGCTCATTCGGAGTTTTTCTGGCATCATATTGATGTATAAAAGAGATGTATTCTATAAAATTGTTTTGAAGTTCTGCTGATGTACCAGGAGAGGCAAGTGGTACTAAAAAAAAGATTTTGTGAAGTCAGGACAAAAAATTAGATTTGTTTATGGACATATAATCAGTATTAATAATATAAAATATGGTAACAAAACTAAATTCTTGAAGTATGCAAGATTATTTACACAATCTAAATAATAAATAGAATGGATTCACCATTCTTTCTTCATGAAAAGAGCCAAATCAAAACAACCAAATTAGCCCCACGTGTGGAATTATTAGTAATTTTTAAAACTAAAATTAATATTAATACAACAATATGGTCAGGCATGGTGGCTCATTCCTGTAATCCCAGCATGCCCTGGGAGGAGGCCAAGACAGGAGGATTGCTTGAGCCCAGGAGTTTGAGGACTAGCCTGGGGAACATGGTGAAACCCCATCTCTACAAAAAATAAGCCAGGCGTGGTGGCATGTGCCTATAATCCCAGCTGTTTGGAAGGCTGAGGTGGGAGGATCGCTTGAGCCCAAAAGTTCAAGGCTGCAGTGAGCCATGACTGCACCACTGTGCTTCAGCCTGGGCGAAAGAGAGATCTTGTCTCATTAAGGAAAAAAAAAAAAATTGTTAGATATGCTTTTTACACAGATACCAATACATTTTAGGGAAAACATAACTATAATTTGTTAACTTTTCACGACTAGAAAGAGTATGAGAAATTCTATGTTGAATCTATAGTTTGGCCAGTGGCTGTGGCCACAGGGTAGAAATTGTATGCCGAAGCTAGCACTAATGGAATTGGAAGACTCTAGGGCTGCTGCAGTTGTAGTTGAACACATAATTCTTTTCATTTCGCCCAATAACAGGGGTTCTGAAAAATTTGCAAGAGTATGAAATCCTTTAAAAATCACTTCTAAATAATCTTTCAATCTGGGTGATGAGTATATGAGTTCATTATATTGGTCTGTGCTCCATGTATGTTTAACATCTTAAATAATTTTTAAAACTCAGTTTTACTTTCAGCAGAGAAGGTTATTTAAAGATCAGAGCAACTTTCAGTACTGTTGCTGGCAATAAAAAAAGTTTAGTGAAGTAAAATTCTATCAAGGACAAAAATTTCTCCCTTAAAAAATATGTATGTGGCTGGGCGCAGTAGCCCACGCCTGTAATCCCAGCACTTTGGGAGGCAGAGGCAGGCAGATCACAAGGTCAAGAGATCGAGACCATCCTGGCCAACATGGTGAAAACCCCGTCTCTACTAAAAATACAAAAAAAAAAAAAATTAGCTGGGCGTGGTGGTGAACGCCTATAGTCCCAGCTACTCAGGAGGGTGAGGCTGGAGAATCACTTGAACCTGGGAGGCAGAGGTTCCAGTGAGCCAAAATCGCGCCACTGCACTCCAGCCTGGGTGACAGAGCAAGACTGTGTCTCAAAAAAAAAAAAAAAAAGTACGTAAGAGTTTATGTACAACGAACATATCTGTGAAATGCTATGTAACAAACTGGTAACAGTGGTGACTGTAGGGAAAGAGAACTGGGTGACTGGAGGACAGAGGTGGGGAGAAGTAGATTCAGTTTTCACTGTATATCTTTTTGTACCATTTGAATTTTGTGCCATATGCTTATATCAACTGTTAAAAAATAAAATTTAACTTTTAAAAATCACACCTTTAAAATTAGAGGAATACATAAGAAAAAATGTTAGTAAATTTACATGTATTAAGCATTCATGAATTCACTTTGATATTCAGACATTGTTATAAACTAATTTTATTAGCAAGCATGACTAATATTCAAATACTTATACATTACATGTTACAAAATGGCAATCTTTTCCCAGTTAGCAGTATAAAAAAAGTTAACTGTTAACATTTTCTTGATTTCTAATTGCAATCAACTGCTCAAAACTCATTTTCTACTTAATCATTACCTTTCTTTTAGAACTTGCTAGAAAACAGAAAACAGTAGTGCAAAGATTTAATAAGCATGACACTGAGAAAATTCTATCTATAATTTATATTTTTTTCCACCAAGTGGGAAAAGATGACCATTTTTTTTATGAATATCATGGTCCAACTCACAGAACATTAGTATGTGCGGACACAGTTTCATAACTTCGTGTATAGACAGAATGAAGCGGCTCTAAATTTAGGCATTAATTAGGTGGTGGTAATGAAGTATCCAAAGCATGCATTTGGTAATAAAATAGACATGTTTTCAAATTCTGGCTTTACCACATTTCCTAGTTGTGTGACTTTGAAATAAATCACTGAACTTCATTGAAATTCTATTTCCTCCTCTCTAAAATGAAGAAAACAATAATTTGCTTTTTGAATTGTGAAAATTAAGGGCAGTGTTTGTGAAGTCTCTAGGATGCTAGGGTCAAATTATGGAGTCTTCAAAGTTAGCAAAGGGCCAGCTCTTTTGTATCTTGACAAAAGGGGAAACCATGGAAGGGAAAAGGAAGCAGGAACCGGAGCTACCAAAAAAAAACTGTGAGAAACCCAAAGGCTTTAGTGAACTGGTACGAAGGGTTGGTGGCAATTTGGACTGGAGGGTAGGAAGGTCAGATGTAGCCAAGAAGAATAAGTTGTGGGAGAGCTTTTAAAATCTGCTCTTGACTTTCCCTCACATTGCCTTGGGAAGATCATGCTTGCCCAGGGCCACAGAAACTGGCAGCAACTGCCTAGCCAGTTGTTGTCAATACAGTAATAGCAGAAGCGCGCAGAAGTCCCTCCAGGATAACGAGCTGATGAAAATGGGTACATGTTGCCCCCTTGGGCATTTCTTCCTCCAACATTCCCCCAGCAACCGTCAATGCTGGTGAATTAAAAACATCAAGATACTGACTTATCTCAGTGATGCCTTTTTTTTTTTTTTTTTAACAGTTTAAGGGTGGTAGGGTGGATTCCTGACTACATGACCAGCCTAGTAGAGTGACAGTAATTAACAATGGTCTAAATAGGTTTTGTGATACCAGAAGCTCTCTGGCCTGAGCCTCATTTTCTTTCCTCAAATTTAGTGGGAGACATACAAACCAGACCCTGGTCTTCAGCCTTTGTCTGCACAGGCCTACTGATTCCCCTAGGGGAATATGATCTACCATAAATTTGACCATAAAAGAAAATTTTAAAACATATACTGTGTGAAGGAGAATTATCAGAACCAATATACCAAGAATTTAAAATAAGCATAACAAATATCCTCAAAGATACAGAACAAAGTATTGTTAATACGAACAAGAACAGGTCATAAAAAGGAATAACAAAAAATGTTAGAAATAAAAAATATAACAGTTGAAACAAAAAAATACATGGTCTAGACAACAAGAATCATGAACTAGAAAATCAGACTGAGAAGCTGTCCCAGAAGGCAGCAGGAAAGGATAAAGAAATAAAGAAAAGCTCAGAGACATGGAAGGTGGAAGTATCAACACCAGAACTAAGAAGAAATAGAGGGAAGGGAAGGAAATATTTGAGAAAATGATGATGATATATATCCAAGAATTAAAGAAAGCTCAAACACCTCAGATTGAAAGAGCTCACAGAATACCAAACAGGTAGCAGGGGCAGGAGAAAAATGAGGCAATGAGACACAAAGGATGCAAAACTTTAAGGAGGCACTTGCATGACCCTGGGAGTGAGTGCCTCCTTAAATTTTACACCCTAGTTGGGTTTCTCACTCTCCTCTCGATCTTGCAGTACAGATAAAGGAAAAACTCGCATCTAAGACATTTAATAGAGAAATTTAACATCATCTGGGACAAAGAAAAATTATAAATGCTTTCAAAGAGGTAAATTATGAAGGAGTAACAACAGGTTAATATCAAATTTCTCAATAGCAACATTGGACACAAGATAATTAATTTTTTTAATATTAAAAGGAAAAGCACTTTAAGCCTAGAGTTTTTATATCCAACCAAATTTTCATTTAACTGTGAAGCCAAAATTTCAAAAACATGGGAAGGAAAGGAAGGCCTCAGATGATTTCCCCCCAAAACAGACCTACTTTGAAAAACTAGAGGAAGAATTCAAGACTAGAAATAAATCAAAGAGGATGTCTGATATATAAGGAAGAAAATAACAAAAATTTTTGTTTCCTGAAAAAGATAAGGATTAAAGAACAGAAAATTCTAAGTATTATACCTGTAAAAACTCAGAACTAAAATTCTATTGTTTAACATTAATGGAGCCCCTGGTGAATACTATAAAAAAGAAAAAAGTAGTACAATGATTACAAAGGAGGAAAAAAAAAGTAATTGTAGGTAATATAATTACCTGAATAGAAAAACCACAAGAGTCCATCAATTATGAGAATAAGAGTATGGCAAAGTAAACAGACATCGGATAAATGTATAAAAATCAAAAATCAAGAGCATTTCTCTACAATAGTGATAACCTACTAGAAGATATAATGAAAAATAACATATATTCTTAGTAGAAACAGAAACTATATAGTATGAAGTTTCTAGAAATTAAAAAAGCATTCACAAGATCTCTATAGAGAAAAAATTTAAATTCTGTTAAAGACCTAAAAGTAGAACTGAATAGACATTCTATGCTCTTGAATAGGATGATAGCATTTTATTATAATGGTGACTTTTTCCTAAATTAATATATAATGTCACCACAACCTAATCAAAATTCTAGCTGGATATTTTGAGCAATGTCATACATTTCAATGTTTAAATAGAAAAATAAATCCCATAAATCAGCTCTGAAGGAAGGGTGAATAATTGAGACTTTCCATATCAGATATTAAGACCAGCTAAAAATCCATATAATTAAAATATTTTGGTACTGATCCAGGAACTGAAAATTAACCTGAGTAACGTAACAGAGAGCTTGCAGACAAACTCATTTATATATGGAATCTTAACATAAAATTAAGGAGGTCCTATAAGTAAATGGGAAAAGTGCAGATTATTTTATAAATGGTTTTCAGAAAAGTGGTTCACTCTATGCTGGAAAGTGGAATTGATTCCCTACTTAATAGTGCGCGCATGGTGGACTCTAAGATTAAAGACCTAATTATGGAAGGTAAAAGTATAAAATCAAGATAAGAAAATGTAGGAGAAAACTTTCTTTACCTAAGGGTAGGAAAAACCCTTCTTAAAACAGCCAGTACACAACCCATAAGGTAAAAACTTGATTATATTAAAAAACATAGGAGAACTGCTCGATGAAAGACACCATGGGCAAAGCTAATAGAGATGGCAGATTGGAAGGAGATATTTGTAACGTGGGAACTAATGGGACAGAACATCAGTGGTAATTTCAGAGTTAAGGACCTTTGAAAAAGCTGCTCCTCCACAAAAGCAATGAATACACTGGCAAAAGTCATCAAAATCAACTTTTTTAGAACTCTGGAGATTAACGAAAGGCATGCAATAATCTAAGGAGCATTTATTCAAGAAAAATGGCTTAATCTTCATAATAAAAGCAAGTTTGATGACATTTTAACTCATGCAGTTTCCCCCTCCCCCCACTCCCAATCTCCCCTCTGCAGAAGCCTTGAAAACCAAGAGCCCTGCAATTATGATGAAAACCAGAAGCCTATCAACTACTGGAAGAAGCGGAAGGGGTTTGGAGTGTCTCACAAATACCAACTCAAGAGAACTGTCACTATTTAACCTGGCCTGCAGGGTTCGTCTTTATAGACATGACTCAGAGCCCTAAAAGTGAATTATGCACCCCTGCCACCCTGCCCTTGCCTCACCCCACGACCAAGTATTCATCCGAAACAATCAGGGACGGTTGTTTAACATTACAGCTGCCTAAGGTGACAGTAACAGTTGGGGCAAATAAGCTGCCCCAAACTGGAAATGTATATGCTATGCTTTCTATTGGGTTAAAATCAGATGACAGCAATTTCCACATCTGAAAAATCCTCAGACAACAGAGTTTACATCTACCTACTGCAAGGAGATCTACATAAGATGAATTTAAGTTATAGTGATGTTTTAGTAAGTGAACTGCGTAAAGCAAAATCTGTCATCATTAAAAGCCCTCTGGAAGGAGCAGGACAGTGGAGATTTTGTTGGTCAGAGGAGTCGAAATTTCAGTTAGAAAGGAACAGTAAGTTTAAAAGATCTAATGTACAGTTGGTGCTCTCTATCCATAGGTTCTGTATCCACATATTCAACCAACTATGGATTAAAACTTTTCAGGAAAAATAAACCACAAAAATAATACAAATAAAAAACACGATAACAACTATTTGCATGGCATTTACATTGTATTAAGTATTCTAAGTAATCTAGAGATTAAAGTATATGGGAAGATGTGCGTAGGTTATATGCAAATACTACACTACTTTATATAAGGAACTTGAACATCTGTGGATTTTGGTATCCACAGGGGTCCTGAAACCAATCCCCTGGTTACTGAGGGATGACTGTGCAACAAGGTAACCATAGTTAATGTATTGTACTCTTGAAAATTGCTAAAATAATAGATTTTAAGTGTTCTCACCATAAAAATAATGTATGTGAGGTAATAAACATCTTAATTAGCCACTTCACAATGTATATTTCAAAACATCATGTTGTAAGGATGTTTTGTATAGATACAAACAATTTTTGTTTGTCAGTTAACACTGTCTGTAATAATCACAATAATACCTAGCCATGGATCAGATTAAATACAAATAGCATATCAGACAATTTTTCTTATAGTGTAACAAGTAAAGACTGGTTATAGAGTGGCTTCTTTTCAAAACCAATATAAAACAAATTTAATGCTTTACTAATACTCAAAACCAATTTTCTGGGATTTACACACTACTAAAGTAAATGGTTGGTAAACCTTTTTAATTCTGGGAAACTTTGGGATTAAATATAGAGATGAGAAAGCAAAGAAAGTTAAACCTGTAATTTGTTATTTAGTACATTATGTCAAAAAAATTTTGATCAAATACTAGTGTTGTGCTGACAATTTTAGGGAAATCTGATTAAGTTTATAAACAGTATTAAAATATTTAAGATATCTGAGTTTATTAGATTTACAAGGTTTTGCAAGTTTTCTTAGGTTTTTTTTTCTTCTTGTGGAACAGGGCTGCTCCATAGGTAGTAAGCCCACAGTAGCCACAAGGTTTATTAGGTTTTATAAGATTTATTAGGTTTAATTTATTGAATTTATAGAAATTATTTAAGGATTTGGAAATGTTTTGATTGTCAAAGCTTTAAGTTTTTCTTGTAAAGATGTTTGAAGTATTTGAGAAGAAAACAGAATATAGTAACTATTATTTTTTAAAGTTTTAAGTTCAGGGGTACATGTGCAAGTTTGTTATGTATAGGTAAGCTTGTCTCATGGGGGTTTGTTGTACAGATTATTCTATCACCCAGGTGTTAAGCCTAGTACCCATTAGTTATTTTTCCTGATTATCTCCCTCCTCCCACCCTCCACCATCCAACAGGCCCTAGTGTCTGTTGTTCCCTTGTGTCCATGTGTTTTCATCATTTAGCTCCCACTTATAAGAACAAGTGGTATTTGGTTTTTTTGTTCCTGCGTTAGTTTGCTAAGGATAATGGCCTCCAGCTCCATCCATGTTCCTGCAAAGGACCAGATCTCATTCCTTTTTATGGCTGCATAGTGTTCCACGGTGTATATGTGCCACATTTTCTTTAAGCAGTCTACAGTTGATGGGCATTTAGGTTGATTCCATGTCTTTGCTATTGTGAATAGTGCTGCAATGAACATATGCATGCATGTGTCTTTATTTATATTCCTTTGGGTATATACCCAGTAATGTGATTGCTGGTTGAATGGTAGTTCTGGAAAACAGAACATAATTAAATCAACAAACTTGCAATTTAAAATGCTAACAGAATTTAATTGACTTTGTTTCGTAAATGAGTCATTGTTAAGGTATATTTCATTTGTTCAACTTGAGTTAAATGTCAAACAAGTGAAAGATGCTGTTCTTATTTTATACAGTATTTAAAAATTAAAGACTTGAAACATATTTTTCAAATTTATAATGTTCAAACTGGAATATTTAAATCATAAGTAACTATGAATACCTTTTTATATAGAAAGGCTCTCTTTGAAATTAAAAATCTTATACTGAAACAGATTACCCTCAAAGAATTTGAACTGCCTGCAGACTTGACATAACAATAAAATCCAGGAGACAGTGGAGTAATATCTTCAAAGTGTAAAGGGTAATTAATTGTGAACCCAGAATTCTGCATTTAGCTGTGCTTTCATTCATTAAAGAGTGTGGGCAACTTAAAGACATTTTCAGACAATGAAAGATGAAGAGTTGGCTACTCCTAAACTCTCATTTAAATGACTGTTGAAGGGTATTGTGGTAGTCTGTTAAATTGGTGGCCCCAATGAATCAGGCCTCCCAGTATTCAAATCCTTATATAGTCCCCTCCCCGTAAATGTGGGCTGGTCTTGTGATTAGCTTTAACCAACAGGATATGACAGAGGTAACACTATGCCAGTACTAGCCATAAACTTTAAGAAAGCCTTATAGCTTCTGCTTTTGCATTCTTGGGAGTAAGAAGTCCAGCTACCCTGCTGGAGAAACCACGTGGAGTGACCACCTGGAGAAGGAGAGGCCCAGTCATTCCTGCATCCCAGCTGAGTCCCGTCCTCAGTCCATCTGCCAAGTGAATGTGGCCACACAAGTGACCATCACTGACCAGACCAAGAACTACCCAGCTGAACTCAGCCAAGATTGCAGAACATTGAGCTAATAAGATGATTGTTGTTTTAAGCAATTAAATTTGAGGTAGCTTGTTATGCAAATAACTAAAACAAATATTTCAGAAGGAAGTCAAATCAATTAAAATGAATCTTTTAAATAGTAATCTAAAACCTTCCATAATCTCACAAATAATAACTTTAAAAATAATTCTCTGGCTGGGTATGGTGGCTCACGCCTGTAATCCCAGCACTTTGGGAGGCCAAGGCAGGTGGATCACCTGAGGTCAGGAGTTCAAGAGTAGCCTGGCCAACTTGGTGAAACCCTGTCTCTACTAAAAAATATTTTTAAAAAATTAGCCGGGCATGATGGTGGGTGCCTGTAATCCCAGCTACTCAGGAGGCTGAGGCAGGAGAATCTCTTGAGCCCGGGAGACAGAGGTTGCAGTGAGCCGAGATCACGCCACTTGCCCTCCAGCCTGGGCGACAGAGCGAGACTCCGTCTCAAAAAAAAAAAAAAAAAGATTTCTTTTTCATCACGGAAATAAAGGGGGGAGAAAGGAATCTGAGTTATTATAAAGGGAAATTCCTTATTCAGGCATTACACCTATTAAAATTAAACATAATGACTGTGTTCATTTATACAGGCATATGAGACATTTACAGAAGCCCACAATAGTGAGGAATATCTAAACATGAAAACATCAAAGAAGATATTCAGATTGTTAGTGGTTACTCTACTTAAGAATTCAAATTGTACCCAAAGTAATTACTTGAAAGAAGCCTCATTTGATGAGAACTGCAAAAAATAAGGCAAAGTCCATGAAGAATGTTTGAAATCCACTCTCTGTTTCTTGGAAACTTGATCTAATTAAAATTAGAATTTTCTAAACAAGTTGCTATCTAACCATTTATATTTTATCAGCAAAGCCAGGATTTATTCAAACATACAATTTGCTGCTTCTATTGGTGAGAACTTAGGAGTTTTACTTTGAGAAATGTTCTTTTCTTAATTCTTTGTGTCTGCTTAAAGATCATTCACCAGTAATATTTTTCTCTTAAATCCCACTCTTCTCAGTATTCTGATCTTATATATAAAGACTATTAATATAAAAATAATAGTATAGATTTTCAAAATACAGTAAAAAGAAAAAAGCATAACTGTAGCAAAAAATTGTTGTTACATTTTGGTGCAAAAGAAGCAACACAAACTAAAACCTATTTTAGAAAATTAATTTTACCACTATATCTGAATTTGCAATTCAAAAGAACATTGAAATATCAAGTTGTTGATAATCAGCAAGGTTTTATTTAAGTACGAAATACCCCCTTCACATATTAGATTAGGCTTTCCAATTTATAAAGTTTTATTATATAAAACCAAATGTGAACACTTATTCTTACAGGGACTCAAATATGATGGAGCATAGCTGTTTGTTAACTGACTGTGGATGGCAGCCAGGAAATTGTGTGTGGTAGAAGACATAAAGAGCACTTTGAATTGTCGGCACAAGATAACATTGCTGAAATGCCAAAGTCCAGGCGTAATTAAGTGGGCTGATGGAACAGAATGACTATGAGATGACTTTTAATTGGTATTAGTGCATATTTATATGCACATATTAGTGCATGTTTATGTGCATGTTCATATGCTTATGGTAAAAAATCTGGCACATATAGACTAGTTTATATACATATTTTTAAATGTTACATTAAAATATTTTGTTTTTTAAAAATCACTTTCATCTAATATCCAAATACCTGAAATATGAATAAATTGCAGGCCTATATTGTGCAGTACATGTTACTTTAAATTACATTATGACTTTGTTGAAGAATGTATAATTATCATTTAACTAATAAATATTTATTGAATCTGGGCATTGTACTAGACCCTAGGATACAATAATGAACTTGGCCATGAGAAATACCAACAAAAGAACAGAGAAAGAAAAAGAAATACCAATAAAAGAACAGAGAGAGAATCATGCCAGGTTCTTGAGCTAAATTTCAACTCAACACATAACCTAGTACAATGCAATAACTGATAATAGAAACAGTTACCATTTATTGTCTACTATGTAGCAAACACTGTGTTGGGCACTTTACGTGTTGTTTCTCACAACAATCCTGCAAAGTAGGAATTATTCTCACTTCATAAATTGAGCAAAACAGGATGATTAAATTTAATGGGTTCAGGTTCACATAATACTAAGTTTAATACTGAACCAATATTATAAAAGAAGTGTTGATGGTGACAAAGTTGCTGTGATTTCCAGTTAAACATGGCAAATTCAATGTGCATTTCCCCCATTCTTTCCCCAAGCCCCAGTACAATCACACTACAGAAATTTAAGAGGGCTTACGTCCTTAAGGAAGAAAAGAACTAAATAAGAGTGAAGATTTTAACAAATTTGGAAGCTGGAAAACAGATGGATAAGTAGCAATAGACTCAAGTAAACTGCAGAAAACTGGAAGTTAAGTGCTATGGGGGAAGGGAATGGGGTAAAAATTAAGCCAATTAATGCCACAGCATTCCAGGAGTGCCTGGGAATCGGGAGGCATCACATACCTCTGAGGCAGGGAGCATGGGGCAGCGGGACAAGGTGATGTTGCAGAGGACTGCTTATGGGACTCCTGGATTTTCTGTCCTCCATCCTAGGCAGAGGTTTGGAGGATTTCTCTCTGGGCAAATTAAGTAGATCTACAGACCCTGATTTTGGGGGATCCCTTATGAAATGACTGAGCCCTGCCTTATGAACCCAGAAAAAGCCCATCGCTCCAGTGTCATCTTTCACCACTCTTCTACATCCCTTCAACTTGAGTAGCTGAAGTACCATAACTGCTCGTTATGTGGAAGGGACTGGTTGGCTACCAAAGAAAGTTAAAGCAAAAAATCATATGCCATATGTAGATACATATTTTAACCAGTTCATCAAATTTTTATTGGCATGCCAAGCCATTTTCTTTGAGGAGGTGTCCACTGACTGGAATTCCACTTTGTGTTTCTTGTACAAACCACACTTCTAATGCATCATTTCCAGTTTCTATTTCTTTCACACAGAATGAAAATGTAAAGACAAATTTCAAGCAAAATGAATGCAAAATCCTTCAAGATTTTAAAAATTCAGTCCAACTCCTCTTAGTTATTTTGCCTATACCTAAGTAGCATTTTTTAAAGTTAGCAATTGACCTTTTATCAAGTCTGTACATTCAATTTTGAATGTTTTATAGAAACAACTGTTTTCTTTTCTTATTCAGATTTTAATTTACAAGAATATATAATTAAAATATGGAAATACAGTAACAAGTACATAGACATAAATCTGGTTTGGAAACAAGCTTAACTTTCAGAGAGTGTCTCTACCTCCTTGGTCTGAGTTATATTCTCTGTCTCTAAATCCTCACATTATGAGCAATAGAAGATAATGTAGGTAAATTTGACAGATCAAAAAGGGCCGTGTAGGCCATAGTGAGGAATTTGAAATTTATTCTATGAACGTTGAGAAGTAACTGGAGAATCTAAAGGAGGAGAATATCACATGTGTTTTTAAAAAGATCCTTTGACAATGATGCAGAAAACATATATGGAGAAAGAAGAAAGGAAGCAGGGTAATAGCAGCTGTACTGCACTGGTTACAGTGAAGATGGAAAGGAATAGATTTGGGGTCTATTTTGGAGATAGAGGTGTCACAATTTGCTGATGGATTGAATGTGGGGGCAGGGAGTGAAAGGAGAGAGTTTTATAATGCCTTCTAGCTTATCAAAACTTGAACACCTGGTGGGAGAGTGGAGGTGGCATTCACTGAGATGGAGAAGACTAGTGGAGGATAAGTTTGGATGGAGGAAATGAAACATTCTATTCCAGCCATATCAGGTTTGAAAAGGTGACTAGCTATCCAAGAGGAGATGTTAAGTAGGTGTTTGGATATGTGAACTTGAAGCTCAGTAAATAAGCCAGGGTTAGAGAAATTTGGTTTTTAGACTGGTTCCTTTGACCTTTCACCTTAAACATCTATTCCTTGTTTCACCCCCACTGGATAGTATCAACTGATTACCTATATTGCAAATAATGATGTTAGCACCCTTCTTCTCTTCTACTTCTCATCTTCTATCAGTTGTGCACTTACTTTTCTTATTAAAGCTGCTAAGATACATTCTGTTGTGTAACCATATTTAAACTCGTGTCTATAGATTGAGCCTAAAAGTTGAAAACTACTAAACAGCATGCATAGTATTACATAATTACATACATTTTGTTCATTTAAGGGTCAAATGTTGTGCCAGGACTTCATTTCCTTCTCAGTGGGTGTAATGCCCAGTGCCACTTGAAAAAAAATGGTTTAGTATCCGTGCCAAATAAATTCCCTTTTCTAGGTCAAAAAGTATTTCCCCTGAGAACTTTGAAGATATTAACTCCATTGTACTCTTGCATCAGTGCTGCCTGATTCCATGTTGATACTTATTTCTTAGATGGTGACTTATTTTTCTATCCCTTTATGGAAACTTTTAGAATCTTCTGTTGATGATGACTGTTTTGCAATTTTGTAATGATATGTAGGGTGTGCATATTTTTCCCCTTCACACTTAGAAGCACCCAGTAGACCCTTTTAATGCATTTTATGTAGGGAAACTTTGTTATTATTTTAGAGGTTGTGTAGAGTACTATACAGTACTGGTTATGAGTATATGCACTGGAGTCAGGCTAGCTGGGTGCAAATGCCAATTATTCACTCTAGCCTTGGGCACGTTATTTCAACTCCATGCTTGCTTTCAAAGGAGTTCAGAACATGCTACTCTAAAATGCCACTCTGGCATATTGACTATATTGAGTTAAAGGCACTTGAAAAACAGCAGATGCAAGAAAAACAGTTTGACCTTCCTTCTCTTTCTCAAAAGCAGGAGATGAAATTCCTACGTAAAAGATATCCTCCCTATACCAGAAGGAAAGCATCATTCTTACCAAGCACAGGAATTTGAGGTGAGGGGAAATCTAGACAAGTAAACCTTGTTAAACTCACCCTTATCTTCCTAGTCATTTCTCTACCCAATTACCCTAGCCCAAACTCCTTTGCCTTGTCCCATTTTTACAATGTACTACTCTTTGTCCAATTTAGTATATGTGTTCTTTCTGTGTCTTAGGGTCTTCATTTCCTTATGAAGGCTCCCCTGCTATGTAAAACTTGTATTAAATAAATTTGTATGCTTTTCTCCTGTTGATCTTTGTGTCAATTTAATTCTCAAGCCCAGCCAAAAACACTAAAATGTTAAAAAATAATTTTGCCTCCCTACATTTTCTTATCTGAAAAATAAGAATATTAATAGTATTACTACACTATTATATTGCATAGAGTTCATGTGGGAATTAAATGAGTTAATATTTAGAAAGTTCCATAAAGTGCCTGGCAAATAGTATGTGCTCAATAAATGTTATGTTTTGCTAATTATCTACCTTCATTTTTACTCTTCTCTTTTCTGGAGCTCCAGAAAAGTTGGATTTCCCAAACAGATCTTCTGTTTTGCTTTCCTTCTCATTTTCCAAGCTTTTGTTTTGTTGTTTTATGCTGTGTGATACTTCCGTGACTTTATTCTCCAAATCTTTTTTTTAACTGGCATAATTCTAATCTTTGGTTGTCCATTTATAAGAAGGGGACGGGGGATCAGCTTGATTTACCGAAATAACTGGTGTGGTAGTTGACATCTGGCTAAGACACTGGGCTCTAGTAGTCTTAATGTTGGGATAGGGTGGAGTGCTCATGACTGGAGCCTTTATTTAAGGGACAGGCTTTGAAGTAACTCTCTGACTCTCTCCTACCCGCTTTTCATTTTTGCCTTCCACTATGCCTGCTGGCTCGGCGTGTAGCTCAGTCAGGGCTTTGGCCAGGCAGATTGTCTCTTCTTTGCTGCATCTCCTTCTAGAAATTGCTTCTTTATTCTCTTTTATCTATCAATAGGCTTCTAGTCTTTGCTACGTTCCAGAAAGTTCTTCCTTCTATTCTCTTCACTCTTAAGAGTTTATTGCTTTGCTACTATTTATAGTAATAGGGTCTTGGAAGGCAGGGAATTTAGATATGTGTGCTCAGTCTGCTATCCTGAACCAGAAGTGGAAACTTTATTATCTTTCTAAAGGACAAGTCATTGTTACAGATTATCTAATAGCCCTCTTCATCAGCTACCTTCCTTGAAGTGACAATAGTTACAACTCTTAAAATGTGGTGGCAACAACAATGAGCAGGATGCTACTAAGTTTCTGACTTTGAGGCTGGTGTTATTAATGATCAATACAATTTTCATTATGTCATATTAACTGCATTTGGAGACAAACTGTCCACTAGGAAGAAATAACAAACTTCCCAAGGGCTGTATTTGCTGTGTGTGTATTTTCAACTTCATAGAGAAGTAATTATTTTCAGGAGCTGTCCGGACATCTAATACATCTTAGTTTTGGTAGCAATAATTTGAGATAACATAAAAGGTTTTTACCACTGCAAAACCTTACCTATTCCACAAGAAGGCTTTTGCATCTTGCTGTGTTTGACTGGCAAAACCAGTGGACACGATGGTTTTTGGAAGTCACTCCTCTGGGTGCTCTTAGAGTCGTAAGGTGGTAGGAAGACAGGTTCCAGTGCTTTACCATGTGACCACCAGTCACCCTTTATAGAAAATAATTGGAAACACAATATTGGATACTGTAGGGCATTTTCATGTATTGCTTGATGTCTATGGATATTCAGTAATTCAATTTAACAAGTTAGTGGATATCCCAGTACTAATGTGGAGTTCTGAAATCTGGAAATATCTTTTCACAAAAAATGTATTTCTTTGAAGGCACTGGAAAATGAGTTGTCAAATTTTTAGCTAAAATACAGCTGCTGAATTCTTAAGCTACCTTCCTTCTATCAACAAATGAAGTGGTAAAAATCAGCAAAATAGCTGTATTTGTTTTATACTATGATTTTATTATATATGTACACGTGTATGTATAAAATATTTAATTTAAAAAATTATGTTGTAATCTTTTCATTATGACAATACAAATAATGTATTATCATCTAAAAATAGTGGTTTTCAGAAGTTTTAGTCCCTAGCCTGAACCATGAAATACATTTTATGTCATACAAGAGCACACAATGCTATACATACATAAAACTGAAACAAAAGTTTCACAAAATACTTACTATATGCAGTGTGCTTAACTATTTTTCTATTCTATTTTATTGCTTTCCTATTTCATTTCACGTTGCTGACTGCAACTCATTGATTTGTCATTCACTAATGACTCAGTTTGATAAACTTTGTTCTAAGGGGAAATCTCTCTAATGTTACTGAATTTTGGTACTAAAACCTAAGTACACAAGAAAGGGAAAACTGAGATTCTTCATTAGCATGTATGACAATTTGATTTCTTGGAAGTTGAGAGAGTAGAGAGGGGAACTGTTACTCAACTTAATTCTGACCAAATATTTTAAAACTGGTTGATTAGGTGGTAGTAAGAAAATGCTTGAGAAACCCTATGACACCTAGGAGTTCCTGGAATACAGTTAGGATATGAAAGTAACTTCCGGTATAATCAAACACCTACCGTGGGCTATAAGGAAGCAAGTCTGCCTTTTGAAAATCAACTATGGTTCCATAGCCAAAGACTTCTAAACTATGATTCAAGGGGGATAAATATGCAATTCTAATAGGTAAAATACTGACAATACAATTAAGGCTACATTGATGCAAAAAGGGAGATGTTTCTTTAAAAAAAAAAAAAACCTATGTGGCTGCATAGGGAGTCAGCTCTCAAATGAGCTTAGTTTCTAAAAAGACAGGCATGTATAAAAGACATATACAACATTAGATTTAAAAAATAATTAATGGAGTCAGCTTGTCAGAAGATTGTCAAGAAACTTAGAAGACATTTATAAATTTATAAAATTTTACAAATTGATAATTTATACAATTGTCAAAGGCAGCAAAAATAATGTTTTCTAGAAAAAATTGTTCATAGCTGAGTGAAATCCTACAGCCCCAAAAAAGGTTATCTTTTGTGTTCCGGCTAACAGTTTGGAGAGAAGAATCTGGTTCAGGAAAGTCAGAACTATTCATTCAACTTGAGGTTGTTAAGGAAAATTACAGTTAACTTGAAAAAGATGGGATGAACACATACCAAAGAACTAAGCCCTGAAGAGCTGATGAGAGAGTTGGACTTCACTTTGTCACTTTATAAGAGTGCCAGTTTTTAGGCCAATGACAAATTGTAAGCAGGAGTAATGGAATAATTGGTAATTGTAACTGGGGTAATTTCTGCAGAGATTACAGAAATTTAGGAACTAGGGGATTTTGGAGAATAGATTGGCTAATGCTTCACTTTTCAGAATGGGCTAAAAGGTGAATTTAAAAAATTAAGACTACTTGATGTAGATCCTAGGAAAATTCTAGAACAGATTACTAAACAGATGGTGTCTTCTCACTATCTGGCTGAAAATAGTCACATCTTACTGTTGTCAGAGCGCCTGCTTCTGGCAGCTCTTCTCCACTCCACTTCACAATTATAATAGTGCTTATTACACCCCAAGGTCTAGGATTTATAGGTCTTGTCTTACTTATATAAGCTCATCACAATTCTATGAGGCAGGCACATCCACTTTACAGATGAGAAAACTGCCAGGAGATGAAGTAACTTCCCCAAGATATATCACCAGCAGACTGCTGCACTGCCACAATTCAAACCCCAACCTCTTTGTGCACACCTCTAATTTCTGTGCTGCACTGCTGTATCAAACCTGCTGTGGAATGCAAAACCAGCTAAGTACAAACCAAATGAAATTATTTAAGAAGTGAAAATAGAGGCTGTAAGTGCACGTCTTAGTCTGTTTTGTGCTGCTACAACAGAATACCTTAGACTGGGTAATTTATAAGGATCAGAAATTTACTGGCTCACAATTCTGTAGGCTGGGAAGTCCAAGATCAAGGCACTGGCAGGTTTGGTAATTATGATTCTAAGATGGCACCTTGAACACTGCATCCTCACATGGTGGAAGGCAGAAGAGCAAAAAGAGGGCAACAGGGGACAAAACTTGCCCTTTTATAATGGCATTCATTTCATTCATGAGGGTGGAGCTTTCATGACCTAGTCACCCCTTAAGGGTCCCACCTTTTAATACAGTTACAATGGAAATTACATTTCAACATGAGTTTGGAGGGGACAAACATTCAAACCATAGCAGTAAATATTCTGAGAAAGTTCTTCTGTGATAAGATTGTAAAGCATACACAAACACTTCATATCATCTACTTTTGTTGATCAAAAACTTATTTTGCTAATACTCAAGTTACTGGAAAAATGGCTCTGGGATAAGCGAACCACTAGGAAATGGCTGATGGACTTTAATTATTATTATTTGTTATTATTATTTTTTTGAGCCAGGGTCTCACTCCATCACCCAAGCTGGAGCATAGTGGTACGATTACAACTCACTGCAGCCTCAAACTCCTGGACTCAGGTGATCCTCCCACCTTAGCCTCCTGAGTAGCAGGGACTATAGGCATGAGCCACCACGCCTGGCTATATTTTTTTCTTAAAAGCATAATGCAAAGCTAGCCTTAGAGCAGAGAGATAATTTCATCTTTTGAGCAAATTTCTTTTAAACTGAGAATTTTGCCAAAATAGTCTTTGTTTCACAAACATAAAGGAAATAGAGAACAGTTTTTCCTAAAATGTGACTGGTGACTTTAAGGCTCTGCAGTTTGTGAAAGTGTTCTGATGAGTGTTATAAATTGGATGCATCTTCACTTTAGCTGAGTGAAATCTTACAGTCCAAAAAAAAAGGTTGTCTTTCTTGTTTCTGGATAGTCTTCCTTATGCCTAAAAAGTTTGGTTTGTTCCTGGAAGAGTGAAAGTGCTTATGTGCCCATGCAACATGTGCGTGCCCTTTTGGTCCAAGCATTTATTCATAAAAGATTATGAGATTAAGGAAAGACATGGATGGAGCCTCGTCTTTACCTTTGTATCATACTGAAGGGAAAGACTAACAAAAAATTTACTGTTCTGTGTACCATCACTTACATTGGATTGTGGGGGGTTAACACAGTTATTTATGACAAAATAAGCTGGGAAGTTACCTAGCGTGATGGCTTTGTCTAGGCTCTGGGGAACAGATCATATCTTGCAGATTGTAGAGGGGGTTTTGCCTAACTCAAACTTTGGACCCAGAGAGGAGTTATCCCTACCAGTCTAAGGACTGTCTTCTTTCCTGCCCCAGGATGATAGTCACTGGGTTCCATGGTCAGGAGTTGCCTGGAGATTCCGGATGACGGGGCTCCTTCTAACCTGCAGCTCTGGGAAGGCCAAGGGCTGTTGCACTGTGGGTCCCTTAGTCACATTTGGAAGCCAGTGTAAGGCAGTCTCTATGTTATACTCCTAGTATCCCTAAGCTCTCAGAGATGTTTTAGTAAAGATTACCTATTTTCCATTCTTTGAGAAATTAAGGGAGAATCCTCAGAGGAGAAGTAGTAAAAAGCAAGTGAAGTATCCTAGAGGAACTAGTTAAGTGAATGCAAGAGGTCGTAAGCCAAGCTCCACAGCCACAATCGCGTAGCCAAGATGGCTGGTGGTGGTCATCTGTGGAACATAAAATCATACTTTGTGGATTCCCAAGGAAATGTGGGCTTTTGACAAAACCTAAACATAAACAATCGCATTTTGTTGGTAGAGCTCAGTGGCTTTAAAAAATTGAAGTACTATCACAAACACTAGGGCAGCTAAGGTCACATTGGTTACACTGTACCTAAATTCATCTCTATTTTGCTATAGATGCTATGAGTGCTTTAAAAAAATGTTTTTAAGCAGTTCATAATGCACCCCCCCATAAAAAATTCCAAAATTGTGTTCTGTGGAACACTAGTTCTCCAGCATATTAATAGGTGTTATACAAAGGAGTCCACAGTTAAATGACTTTGGGAAATAGTGAGAAAAGCAAAGTTAAATAAGTTTATCACAAGATTTCTCAGAACCTTTATATACCAATGTGAATTGTGAAGCTCTGAGAAAGGTTTATAAAAATACAGCTTTTCCAAAACATATTTGACTTTGCAAATTTATTTTGTTAAGCATGTAGGCAAGGGTCAGTGCTCTGAAAATTAAACTTTTGAAAATACCAACCTAGTATAATCTCCTTTAAAGTACCAATATTTAAAAATATTTTTATTTTATTTTATTTTATTTTTTCTTGAGATGGAGTCTTGTTCTGTTGCCAGGCTGGAGTCCAGTGGCACGATCTTGGCTCACTGCAACCTCTGCCTGCCAGGTTCAAGCAATTCTCCTGCCTCAGCCTCCCAAATAGCTAGGACTACAGGCACGCACCGCCATGCCCATCTAATTTTTTGTATTTTTAGTAGAGATGGGGGGGGGTCTCACCATGTTGGCCAGGCTGGTCTCGAACTCCTGACCTCATGATCTGCCCACCTCAGCCTCCCAAAGTGCTGGGATAGCAGGCATGAGCCACCGCACCCAGCCAAAAATATAAGACAATCAAACCAGTTTTCTTTGGAAGTGACTGAGCTAAAACAACTTACTTTTTTTAGCATCCCCAATTTTATGTTCCTAGGTAGAAATGTACGAAATCTTAAAAATCTTCTAAACAAATAAAACCAACCAATCTCGTCTTGCATCCTAAAGATATTATCTTAGCAAAAACACTTAAAACAACAGGTGTCATTTAAAATATTTAGGCAAGTTTATTTTCTTTACTCTTATTATAAAGACAGCATTACCGTCAACCAGTTTTTTTCTTAACCAGGCTAACCTTTAAAAAGAAACCTGTCATCTTAAAGGAACAGTTTACAAATATGTGAAATATACATTCTTTATTATTTCTTGGATAGTTAGAAATGAGTACATTTAAGTTCATTGTTTTTGGTTTTTATTTTATTATTTTAAAATTTGTTTTTAGAGATGGGGTCTTGCTCTGTTGCACAGGCTGGAGCACAGTGGCACAATCATTGCTCACTGCAGCTTTGAACTCCTGAGCTCAAGCCATCCTCCTGCCTCAGCCTCCTAAGTAGCTGGGACTACGGAGGCTTGCCACCACACCTGGCTATTTATTTATTTATTTTTGTAGCGCTCGGTCTCACTATGTTGCCCAGGAAGGTTTCAAACTCCTGGGCTCAAGTTACCCTCCTGCCTTGGCCTTCCAAAGTGTTGGGATTACAGGTGTGAGCCACTGTGCCCAGCCAATTTTATTTCCTTTTGAGCAGGGTCTCACTCTGTCACTCAGGCTGGAGTGCAATGGCATGAACATAGCTCACTGCAGCCTTGACCTCCCAGGTGCAAGCAATCTTCCTGCCTCAGCCTCTCAAGTAGCTGGGACCACAGGCGTACACCATTACACCCAGCTATTTTTTTATTTTTATTTTTTTGTATAAATGGGGTCTCACCATGTTGCCCAGGCTATGTTTTTAAAATATACACACTCCCTTCCTGCCACACCCAAATCAGACATGCTTGTAACTCAGTGATGTATCTTCAGTCTTTCTCTGTAACTCTCCTCATTCATATTCACTGACAGATTCCCTTATCTGAGCTCTTATTTCATCTCAAACTCACTTTCACCATCTCTTAAAGGTCCAGTGCTAATAATGATTCTACTACTATTCTGTCACCTAGTCTTGATGATAGCAGCTCTTAACACCTTTGTTCATTTTTTTTCCAACATACCTATAGAGTAGGAGTAAGAGAAAATTAGTTGGGATTAAGTTTTTAAACTTTTATGTTTCATATTTCTATTCTCAAACCAGCTTCTTTTTCTTAGTATTGCCAATGTAAGGATGAGTTCAGTGAACAGTTTTAAATTCAACCCTGAACTAGAGCTCAGAGTCATTCATGAGCCTTTGTAAGAAATGTAAGAACTTCACTAATCTGGATTTTGGTACCAAATTAATTTCCCCAGTGTAGGTCTGGTCTAACAATAACAATTGATTTCTTTCTGAAATAATTGGTACGAGAGCATAAGCAAGTGTACAAAATGAAGTACCCTCAATATGGCCCTTAAAGGGGTTTAGCTCATGAAATTAAAGAACATTTAACCACAGGAATTCCTGCCCCAAGAAGATCTGACATTCACAGCCATGGTGTGCTGTCCATGACAAGAACAGATGTCATCAGTACGAAGAGAGCTCACAAAAAGCAATCTCCATCTAAATGTTAAATCACTATACCTAACACACAGAGAGATGAGGAAAGAAGTGGAGTAGGAGGAGGCTGACACTGGCACAGTGGTCTGAGACCATTTAGATGGTACACATTTCCTTTTCCAAATATGCTGGAAAAAACCTACATGAGAAATTATTACCTTTGCTGTGACATATTTTGAATCCCATCTGTTGAACACTTGCCTGGCTCAGCACTGTACTAGGTCTTCTCTCATAGAATCCTGCTCTCAGCTGCAAATAAGTCCCCATCACTGTGCAGAGAGCAGTAGACTAGGATTCTGCTGCTACTAAGAGCTAATGTTTAGTGAGTGCTTCCTTTGTGCATTATGAATGCTCTTCTGCCAGGTTCCTACATGCTCACTCCCTCACTCTCCCTCTGGTCTTCACTCAAATGTCACTCAGTGAAGCCTTCTCTGACCACCAATTTAAAATTGCAGCTCTGCCTGCAGCATTCCTTACCCTGCCTTGCATGCTGCCCTTACTACCATGTAACATTCCAATACAGCTTACTTGTTTGATCTATTCCCTTACTAAAATGTAAGCTATGTAAGGACAGGATTTTTTTCCCCCATTTACTTTATTCACTGCTGTATCTCTAGTGTCTAGAACAGTAACTGACAAAAATATTTTAATTCTCATAAAAACCCTATGAGAGGGACAATTACTATCCTTACATAAATAAGGAAATTGAAGCTTAGCGTGACTTGCCCAAAGTCACATGGCAAGTGTGTAGCAGCAACACAGTGGAATGAACTAGTGACATACTGCAGCAACATGGACAAATCCCAGATGCTTTATTCTGAAAGACTGGTTCAATAAGCTACATACTGGGTAATTCCATTAACATGACTTTCTGGAAAGGGCAAAACTATGGAAAACAGATCAGTAGCTGTTGGAGTAGAGGAAGGGAATGACCACAAAAGGGCATAGGGGAACTTTTGAGGGTGATAGAAATGATTCATAGCTTGATTGTGATGGAGTAACATGACTACACCTTTGCCAAAATTCAGAGAATTATACACTATATAAGGGTAACTAATTTACTGTGTAAGGGTAGGTAGAATAATGCTCCCTCTCTCTGTCCCTAAAGATGTTCGTGATTTAAGCCCCAAATCTGTGAATGTTACCTTGCATAGCAAAGGGACTTTGCAGATGTGATTAAGGATTGTGAGATGGGGAGATTATCCTGAATTATCTGGGTGGGTGCATTCTAATCACAAGGGTCCTTATAAGAGAGAGTCAGGAGAGTGGGTCAGAGAAAGATTTGAAGATGCTGTGTTGCTGGCTTCAAAGAAAAAGGCGCCATAAACCAAGGAACATGGGCAGTCTCTAGAAGCTGGGAAAGGCAAGGAAACCCATCCACCCTTAGAGCCCACAGAAAGAACTAGGCCTGGCAACAGTCAGTGAGACGGATTTTGGACTTCTAAGCTAGATAATAAATATGTGCTGCTTTAAACCAGCTTTCAAGTTTGTGAAAATTTGTAACATCAGCAATAGGAAACTAATACAATAAATTGTACCGCAACAAACCTGACTTTGTAAAAAAGATAATGGAATATTTTTAGCATGGGATAGTCAGTGAAGTGTGGTTTGGCTAAACCAACAGCCCTGGGACAGAAATATGACTGTGACATTTGCTTATTACTTAATCTCAGATATGTTAATTAACCTCAAAGGAATATGTGTTATTTGTAAACTATTTCCAATAAGACTTCATAGAAATTGTTGTAGAGATTAAAGAATATAATTTATATAAAACACTTAGCTCATTCCTAGAACTTCATATGCTTTCAATAAATGATTATTATTTTACAGAAGGTATGTGAATTACTGAGTATCATGGGACATTTTTATATTAGAATATATATCGTAAATACATGAAATTTCTTTAGTAACCCCAAAGCACTACTTTGTGGCAATAATCTGACCCAATCTAGGGAAACAATTACTTAGATTCCCTCCCTGTATCCGTATTGTTTATATGTAAAAGTCAGCTGGCAAAATAGTTTCAGGTTACTGCTTTTAACTATTGGATTATGATAAGTACTACTCTGAGATGTGTCTCATCCTTTATAGTCTGTGACCAAATTATTCTGCAAAACAGCATCTGAATCTAAATCTCTATTTGTATACAATGAACATCTGTCCAACCTGTATTTCTGGCCCTTTTTTGGGATCTATGTAGGGAAATGGTTCATTGTATGTTCTTGCATTTGTGTTAATGAATTTAGCATAATATATACGTCCTCTTCCAACATGTGATTTTGAATGATGTATGCTTTTTCCAGGTTTTTCTTCGTGTTTAATTTCTTCATTTTCACTTACATATGTTATAGCAGCATCCTCTATTTTATGCTGTCTGAAAAACATAAATAGTAAACCATTTACCCCAGTAACCATTAAAATATTGAGTCAAAATTATGTAAAATAAGATTTAAATATACTACAAACAGCAGTCAAGACAATTTAGGCTGTATTAATAGTTATAAGGGTTTGTGCTGTTAAAATTTAGGAGGCCATTTTCTAATTCTAAATCATATAAGCGATAAAGGGCTTTGTGTTAATAATGATTACTCATTATAATATACCAGTGCAGTGCACCAACTCTTATTTGCTTGGAGTAAAGAAAGAGTAGTGATTGGATTATGCTTCCATATCATGTTTGCAGTACTCACGTGTGTGGATAAGTTACACGCTATAGTTAACTCAACTTCTTTAAAAGTTTTATTACCAAGAGAATGGCTTTATTCTCCCGTTTACCTAGTAAACAGCTATCTGGACAAGGATAAACCAATTAATTTTAAAAGTTTGTCTGGCAAACTTAAAGCTACCAAAGGAGCACCATTATTTATCTTTTCAAGAAAAGAACACTATGTGGCAGTCAAAATAAATCTCTTCATTTTTTGCCTCTAGTAAGCACTCTGTTACAAATACGAAAATTACTAAAATAAAATATTTTAAAAATGTATAGGAAGAAACAGCTTATCAGATTTTTCTCCTTTCAAATAAGGAGAAATTGAAATTATAAAAGGCAGTATTTTTAAAATTCACATACTTGAAAAATAAAGAATGAAATATATGAATTTGAATACTTTTTACATAGAAGCTTTTAAAATCAAAGCCATGATCCCACAGCAGGTGAGTCAATGAAACTCCAAATTCACAGAGAAAGCAGGTAGCACCGTTTAATCTTATACACAGCCCTTAAAGTATAACACCTGCCTTCCTCCAAACGAATGCCAGGTCCATCTCTTCTACCACATCATTTTTCTTTTTTTCCTTTTTGAGACGGAGTCTTACTCTGTCCCAGGCAGGAGTGCAGTGGTGCTATCTCCGCTCACTGCAACCTCTGCCTCCCAGGTTCAAGTGATTCTCCTGCCTCAGCCTCCTGAGTAGCTGGGGTTACAGGCGCGCACCACCACGCCCGGCTAATTTTTGTATTTTTTTTTAGTAGAGACAGGGTTTCGTCATGTTGGCCAGGGTGGTCTTTAACTCCTGACCTCAGGTGATCTGCCAGCCTCGGCCTCCCAAAGTGGTGGGATTACAGGCGTGAACCACTGTGCCTCGCCCACATCATTTTGCAGTTAAAACCCTCAAGTAGTTTTCCATTCATTTACAATAAAATACTGCCTCCTAATTGTAGCTCTGAGGTCCTGTGTGACTTGCCCCAGTGAACCTCTTCGACTTCACTCAAGACCCTCCAACCAGACTGCCTTCTGTCAGTTCCAGGGACACATCAATCTCTTTTCCCTCACGGCACCTGCACATGCTGTTCGCTCTGCCTGGACAGCTCTTCCCCAGCTCCCAGCACAGCTGGCTCAGGATATTTAGGTCTCAGCTTAAAACCATCTCCTCAGCAGCTTTTCCTAGATTTCTTTCCTCTACCACATGTATTCTCTATTTTAGTACTTTGTTCATTTCTTTTATTAACACCACAATTTTTTATGTACCTAGTTTTTTGTTTACTTGTTTTTAGTAAGCACTACAAATATCCTTTACTAGTCAATAAGTTCCATGAAGGTGTACATTGTTGAATTCACCATGTGCCCAACATCAGGAAAAGTGTCCTGTTCATCCAAGGTAAATGGACTGCCATTATAACATTTACATATTTCTGGTGAATCTGCTGGAGTTTACTCCAGCTTTGTTTGAATACCCTCAACCACCCCTCCAGTACACATAAAAACAACATTCAGAATCCTTGGATTCTAGTTCCCTGCTTCCCAAAAATTACTTTCTGCAAAGGATTTGGAAAAACTGATTACTGGTAAAGTGTAAAAAACTTCTAAACCTTTTTCTATTACCTTTCCAGAGATACAATTATTTATTTAAAGGTAGAGTCTTTGGGGTCAATTAATTTATTATTGTAGGCTTCTGGCATCAGTTTTTTCCACCTGTTTCTCATAGTTATCACCCAACAATATACACTTGTAGTGATCAAGTCCTTGAAGAAAAGGACTGGGGCTATTTGTTATATAGTTAAATTCATTTGATTAAGCACTTGTGGTATGAATGCCTACGGGTTGATAAATAAGTGTGAAATATATGACTCGAGCAATCTCTTGCCAGAAGAAAAGCACAGATAAAAACACTGATGGGCTCTGAAGTGAGTCAGACAGGGACTGGAATCCCAGTTCTGCCATATCTGAGCCTTTGTCTCATTTGCATGATAGGAACAATACCTATTGTAAGAGATATGAGAATAACATTGAATAATTCATTGTTTCAACAGATATTTATTGAGTTGCGTGCCAGGTGCTGTTGGAGGCACTGATGATAAAGCAGTGACAAAACAAAAATTCCTGCCCTCATAGAGCTTACACTCTAATGGGGAAAGGCGGATGAAAAAGTAAATTATATAGTCTGTTAAGTGCTAAGGACAATAATAAAATAGAGAATGGGAAAAGGGAGTGTATGTATGTAGGAGGTAGGTTTGCATTTTCAGGTAGGGTGGAGGCTGCATTGTGAAGGTGGCAAATGAAAAAAGAGGGGAAGAGAGAGCTAAGTGCATATTTGTGGGAAAAGCATTCTAGCAGAGTGAACTGTAACTGCCAAAGCTTCCCAGCAGAAGTGTAACCATCCTTAGCGCACTGCTTCTAAAAGTATGGGCACTGGAGTAGCAGCATTGGCATCAATTGTGACCTTGTTAGAAATACAAATTTATGGGGCCCATTTCCTTTATGTACCTAGTTTTTTGTTTACTTGTTTTTAGAAAGCACTGCAAACTCAGAATCTCTGGGGCTGGTTCCCAGGAACGTGTTTTAACCAGCTGTTTCGCTGATTCTTATGCACGTTCAAGTGTGAGAACCATTGTTCCAGGGACAAAAATACAGGCTTTGGAAGAGGGTATCCCTGGCTCCACATCATTCCTAACTAGCTGTATGTACTACCTTGATTAATAGTCTCAATTTAAGGTACATCAGAATCACCTGGATGCCTTGGTTGAAGCCAGATTATTGAGCCCCAGCCATAGAGTTTCTGATTCTGTGTGTCTCGGGGGTGGGAAGTCCCCAAAATTTGCATTCCTAACAACCAGGTGCTGCTGATGCTGGTCTTTATCACTGCAGATGATAGCAGAAAGGCCTGTTTGCTGTAGCAGAGTCCTGTCAGAGGGAGGCAAGAAACGGTAAGGGGCGTGTTGTGTAGACTCCATAGGCCATTGGAGGTGCCTTGGCTTTTACTCTACGATGTCGGATGGAGAACGGCGATCTAACCTGGGCTGTAAACGGATAGCTCTGACTGCTGTGTCGAGGAGGCTGCAGAGGGGTAAGGGAAAAGCAAAGCCACCAACTGGAGGGCTGTTGCAGCATCCCGGCAAGAGAAGCTGGTACTTGGGACTGGGTGGGCACAGTACTGAAAGTGATGAGCAGTGGTAGATTCTGGATAATTTTAAAGGTAAAGACTACAGAATCTGCTAATAATTGTGAGAAGGAGTGGATGACTTCAAGAATTTTAGATCCGGTAATGCAAGTCAAGTCCCTGACACACAGTATGTGCTCAGTAAACGGTGCGTTTTAAAAATTATTGTTGTAAGCGCTCAGCCAACTGGAAATTAGAGAAGCAAGGGGGCTGTCTGAGCTTGGCCTGGACTGTCCATGCTGGATCCCGGCCTCCCCCTGAAGGAGGAAAATAGTTTTTGGAAAGGGAAATAAGACACCAAACCCCAGCACTTACTGATGCTTATCTTCCTTTTCCTCCATGGGCCTCTACGGCACCAGGCAGCGAGGAGCCTCCTGGGAAGAACAGGGACGCAGCCCTGCCAGGAAAAGGGTGCGCAAAGCGCGGCGACTGTGACTCGCGCGTTGCTAAGCGACGGGCGCTAGTCCTCGGAAAGGGGCGTGGGGGGAAACTCCTGGAGTGCGCAGGCGCAGTTAAGCCGGGTTGGTGCTGGACTGTTGCTCACTGTGCGCGACTGCGCGGCGAGGAGGGCGGGGGTGCCTGGCCGCGTCTCTAGGCGTGTGGGCTCGACGCCCTGCGTTTGAACTTGCCCTTCCCATTGTAGGGCCAGGAGGGGTGTTTATCAGGACTGATTTGGTCCTTGAGGATAGGGGAAGGGCTGTTTCCGGAGCTGCGGGGCAGCGCTGCTGCCGTCTCCGCCGTGCCCGCCCTCCGGAGCCCGGCAGGTCGTCGTCAAAGCGCTGCCACGGGTCGCCCAAGCTGGCTGCAAAAGTGCGGGCCGGCGGGAAGGATACTTGTTTTCCCTTGTATTGTTAACAATACTGTGCGAGTCGTGATTGGTTGCTCCTGAGCTGCCTAGCCTTTACTCCAGAAAGCTTGGTTGTCACTGTTTTCCACCATTTCTGACAAAACCTTCCCCGGCTGGGCTGCCAGGATTAAAATAGAGCAAGGGAACACTCATCTCCTGCAAATGAGGCTCCCTGCTGTGTGTCATCTGTTGCAGCCTGAGCGGGGTTCAGAATAGGGTAGCTTAGGCAGCGGGTTGGGGCTTGTATGTGTAGCACTTACCCAAAAAGAGCAAGCTCCTGGGAAAAGCCGTTGCTGACTTGCATCCACCTTCTGGCCCTGGAATTTCTTACTTCATTTCACCATTGCCTCCCAATTTCCACTACCAGAGCCAAAAGTCTTTGGCATCTGTCATAGTAACTCACGCATTTCCCTGGATAACGGAAAAAGAAAAGTCCAGAGTTGAATTCTGCCTTATATCAGGCTATGCATACGTATATGTTTGGAATCCAGAGTCAGTGTTCGTGTGTGTGTTTACATTCACCTTGGAGAGTGATGGGAGAGCAGAGGTTGGTCCTAGGACTCATTTTATGTATGTGACCTGAAATCCTATCAGGAAGAAGAATATATGTGTAGATTTGACACCTAGTGACCTAAATACCTGAGTGTGGACTTCGTTGTTAAAGACTGGAGTGTGTGTGAATGTGTCATTGTGTGTGTGTGTGTTTGGTGAGTAAGGAGTGGATGAGTAAATAAATATGGGGCAAGTGGGTTGAAAACCAGAAAGCAGGGGGAACTAATAGCAATTGAGCTTCCACTAGGGGACCAGGCATTTGTTAGGCATTGTATTAAACACCACCTGCTTATCTGGTCTTATCCTAACCATCACACTGTGATTAGGAGCTTAGGGTCTGGGAGCAGTCAGTGTTTGAAACCTGGCTTTACCACTTAACTAGCTAGTTCACTTGGGCAAATGATCTAACCTCTCTGAGCCTCAATTTTTTTCATCCACAAAATGGGGAAAATACCTAGGGTTGTTGTGAGGTGTAGATGATTTAATACAGGCAGAGTACTGAGAACAGGGCCCGATGCTTAGTAAGTGCTTTGCCATTATTTTTATTGATCAACTTGATCTGCTTATGCTGCCACATGTCCTTGAGGGTTAGTCAACTCCCTCATCATTCCCCCTAATTTCTGCTTCAACCTTCACCAATCTCTTCAAGTCCTAAAACCACTTACCCTCAGGAACAATCTCAGGGCTTAAAGAAATGAGGGCATTTTCTCAACTTGATCCTTTCAGACTGACAAGTTCACCTGCATCCGTACAGGATTAGAGTCATTTGCCTCTCTTTTGAGCGGTATGGTATTAGTTTTAAATATATTTATGTCAATCTCTGTTAAGTAGCTTGCATATGTCTAGGACTTATTAAAAGCTATGAGAAACATTTAAAAAAGAAATTGTGGGCTAGGTGCAGTGGCTCACGCCTATAATCCCAGCACTTTGGGAGGCCAAGGCGGGCAGATCGTGAGGTCAGGAGATCGAGACCATCCTGGCTAACACAGTGAAACCCCGTCTCTACTAAAAATACAAAAATTAGCCGGGCGTGGTGGCACGCACCTGTAGTCCTAGCTACTCGGGAGGCTGAGGCAGGAGAATCACTTGAACCCAGGAGGCAGAGGTTGCAGTGAGCCAAGATTGCACCATTGCACTCCAGCCTGGGTGACAGAGCAAGACTCAGTCTCAAAAAAAAAAAAAAAAAAAAGGAAAGAATTTGTGCCAATCACAGGGAAGTCACAATCTAGTTAGAGACATAAGACATACAGTAAAACAAAAAACTGTGACCAAAACATCAATGATACATGAACGCATTATATAACTGATAGACAAAGTATCACATTGCAGTACTGATAGTATAATAATGTGCCAATTATTTATTCCTGGTGCATTCTCTGCAGGGTGCCGCATAAAAGTATGAATTTTATAATAACTTTTGATGTTTTTTATACAGAAAAAACACTGGGCTGCCATTAGTGGTTTTTACTACTAACTAAGCATTGACCTAGGAGAGACACTTAAACCTCTGTGCGCTATAGATTTTGACTTGTAAAAAGATAACTTCATATTGTCTTCATGATCTCTTCCAAATGTAAAATACAGTGATTCTACTGAAAAATTTGTCTGAAAAATCAATGAACACACTAGCTTAAATAATACATGTAATTTTCTAATTTGTGATAGATATTTGGATTCTTGTCAATGAAGAATAATTCAAAGTAGGTACTAATATTATGCAAGTTAAAAATACCGATGCTCTTTGAGCAAGAACACCATATGTGAGGGAACACAATAAGATGGAAATTGCACATCCAAAATGTTATAGATGTAGAAAATTTTCAACATTTTTTTGTAACCATAGGAAAATTCCAGAAGTAAAGAATGGCACAGTTGTATAACCTGATAGGAAAGCTGAGGCTCAGGGAGATCCAGCTTCCTCTCAGTTCTTTTTTCAATGTTGTGCGTGTGATACAGGTGAGGATCTCAAAAATATGGCATAAACAAAAGCTAGTCCTAGTTCTATTTTTAAAAGATAATTTATTTGCCTCATATACATGTGTTGTGAGGATTAAATGAGAAAATACGTTCAGAGAGCTTATCCTGGCACATAGCACTCACTAAGAGTTAGCTGTTAGTCTTCCTATTTTTATAACTAGTAGGGTAGAAGATTCATTAAGTGCATGCATTATGTTGTCTTTGTTTCATTATCTTATACTATAAAAATTTTATCAAACCAGAATATACATGAATTTGAGGATAATGGAAATGAAAAATGGTAGTGTTAGGTCTGCCCATCTTTGAAGATGGATAGGTTCAAATAAATCACAGAAATGAAAGGGACCCTGTGTTTTCCTCTGGTCGAGGTTCAAAGCTAATTGATTTGTAGCATGCTTTTAAGAGAGACATATTACTAAACAAATAAGTATAAATTGTTACATTTCCTAAAGGGTAAAAATCTCTAGTAGAAATCATATAGATCACTTCTGATATAAATAATCCTGGGTATGCCGGGCATGGTGGTCCACACCTGTAATCCCAGCACTTTTGGAGGCCGAGGCAGGCAGATCACCTGAGGTTGGGAGTTCAATACCAGCCTGACCAACATGGTGAAACCCCGTCTGTACTAAAAATACAAAAAATTAGCTGGGCATGGTGGTGGGTCTCTGCAATCCCAGCTACTTTGGAGGCTGAGACAGGAGAATTGCTTGAACCCGGGAGGCAGAGGTCGTGGTGAGCTGAGATTGTGCCACTGCACTCCAGCCTGGGCAACAAGAGTGAAACTCCATCTCAAAAACAAACAAACAAACAAAAAATACAAAACAAATCCTGGATATATGCATGGGTATGTTTATATTCATATAGATATATAAATTAAAATCTTAATTACATGAGATCTCCTGAAAGAATTAAAACAGCCTGAGTTACTACAAAATGATCAGAAATCACTAGTTTGCAAGTTTACCCGATTGAATGAAGAAATTTGTATTTTATGAATTTGGAGGGCTTATATTTTATTAATTTGCCCACCTCTATGATTTCATGACTTAAGGTTTATTTTTAAATAATCCCAAATACGGTTGCCTGTATAAATGTTGCATGACCAAACAAAGGGTGAATGAAAAAGCCTGTCTTAGGTGGAGAAAATAGTGAAGGGACATTTCCATAATGCAGTGGTATTTTAAATAGAGTGGTCATGGGGTGAAGATGGGTTGAATGAATGGCTATGGATATTTAGCTTCTTGAAGAAGGAACATTGCAAAATGAAACATGGCTGGGGTGATATCATTCTCAAAAGGTTAGGAATCACTAGTAGTTTTAGTCTATTTTCATACTGCTATAAAGAACTACTTGAGACTGGATAATTTATAAAGAAGAGATTTAATTGACTCACAGTTCCACATAGCTGAGGAGGCCTCAAAAAAGTTACAATCATGGTAGAAGGTGGAGGGGAAGCAAGGCATGTCTTACATGGTGGTGAGAGTGAGAGCAAGAGGGAATGTGCCACACTTTTAAATCATAAGATCTCGTGAGAAATCACTATCATGAGAACATCATGAAGGAAACTGCCCCCATGATCCAGTCACCTCCCACCAGGTCCCTTCTCTGACAACATGGAGGTTACAATTCCAGATGATATTTGGGTGGGGACACAGAGCCAAACCATATCATTCCACCCCTGGCCCCTTCCAAATCTCATGTCCTTCTCACATTTCAAAACCAATCATGACTTCTCAACAGTTTCTCAAAGTCTTAACTTATTCCAGCATTAACTCAAAGTCCAAGTCCAAAGTCTCATCTGAGACAAGGCCCTTCTGCCTATGAGCCTGTAAAATCAAAAGCAAATTAAGTACTTCCGAGATACATTGGGGGTACGGGCATTGGATAAATGCTCCCATTGCAAAAGGGAGAAATTGACCAGAACAAAGGGGCTGCAGGTCCCATGCACATCCAAAACCCAACAGGGCACTCATTAAATCTTAATGGTCCAAAATAATCTCCTTTGACACCATGTCTCACATCCAGGACAAGCTGATGTAAGAGCTGGGCTCCCAAGGCCTTGGGCAGCTCTGTCCCTGTGGCTCTGCAGGGTCCAACCCCTGCGGCTGCTTTTTTGGGCTGGCGTTGAGTGCCTGTCGCTTTTGCACGTGCACAGTACAGACTTTCAGTGGATCTACCATTCTGGGTCTGGAGGATGGTGGCCCACTTCTCACAGCTCCACTAGGCAATGCTCCAGTGGGGGACTTTGTATGGGGGCTCCAACCGCACATTTCTACTCTGCATTGCCGTAGGAGAGGTTCTCCATGAGTTCTCCACCCCTGCAGCAGGCTTTTCCCTGGACATTCAGGCATTTCCATATATACTCTGAAATCTAGGCAGAGGCTCTCAAAGCTCAACTCTTGTCTTCTGTGCACCTACAGGCCCAACACCACATAGAAGGTGCCAAGGCTTGGGGCTTGTGCCCTCCAAAGCAATGACCTGAGCTGTACATTGGCCCCTTTTAGCCACGGCTATAGCTGGAGCAGCTGGGTTGCAGGGTGCTCTGTTCCAAGGCTGCACAGAGCTGGGCCCTGGGCCTGGCCCATGAAACCATTTTTCCCTCTTAAGCCTCTGGGCCTGTGATGGGAGGAGCTGCCATGAAGATCTCTGTAATGCTCTGGAGACATTTTCCCCATTGTCTTAACATTTGGCTCTTCATTACTTATGCAAATTTCTGCAGCTGGCTTGGACTTGAATTTCTCCCCCAGAAAATGGGTTTTTGTTTTCTACCACATGGTCAGGCTACAAATTTTCCAAACTTTTATGCCCTGCTTCCTTTTTAAACATTAAGTTCCAATTTCAGACCATGTCTTTGTGAACTCATATGACTATACACTTCAGAAAAAGCCAGGTCACATCTTGAATGCTTTGCTACTTAGAAATCTCTTTCCAGATACCATAAATAATCTCAAGTTCAAAGTTCCACAGATCTCCAGGGCAGGGGCAAAATGCAGCCAGTCTCTTTGCTAAAGCACAGCAAGAGTGACCTTTGCTCCAGTTCCCAGTAAGTTCTTCCCTTGTCTCCATCCGAGACCACCTCAGCCTGAACATTGTTGTACATTTTACTATCAGCATTTTGATGAAAACCATTCAACAAGTCTCTAGGAAGTTGCAAACTTTCCCACATTTTTCTGTGTTGTTCTGAGCCCTCCAAAATGTTCCAACCTGTGACCTTTACCCAGTTCCAAAGTTGCTTCCACGTTTTCAGGTATCCTTACAACAGTGCCCCACTTCTCTTGGTACCAATTTTCTGTATTAGTTTGTTTTCACACTGCTATAAAGAACTGCCTGAGACTGGGTAATTTATAAAGAAAAGGGATTTAATTTGACTCACAGTTCAGCATGGCTGGGGAGGCCTCAGGAAACTTACAATCATGGTGGACAGCAAAGGGGAAGCAAGGCATGTCTTACATGGCATCAGGAGAAGGCAGAGGGGAAGTGCCACACTTTAAAACCATCGGATCTCATGAGAACTCACTCAATATCATGAGAACATCATTTGGGAAACCGCCCCCATGATCCAGTCACCTCCCACCGGGACCCTCCCCCGACACATAGGGATTTCAATTCAAGATGTGATTTTGGTGAGGACACAGAGCCAAACCATATCATTAGCCTAAGCTCTTTAGTTTTGAAGGTTTTCTATGTCTTCTAGCTTCTCTTAAAAACGATTTTCCTCATTCTATTTGAAGAAGTCCAGAGATGTGATCATCTTCCTTGTAGGTCATCGCTATATCTTATTAGCTAACATATAGCCAAGCCAGTATTTATCTTCTGTATTTGAGTACCTTCTGTATTGTGGCCTATTCTCATTGGAACATGAAATTTTAGTTTATTCTTTGAAATTCCTGGCACCTAGAAAATTATCTTACAAATGGGTCAGTCATGGTGGCTCACACCTGTAATCCCAGCACTTTGGGAGGCTGAGGTGGGTGAATCACGAGGTCGGGTGTTCAAGACGAGCCTGGCCAACATGGTGAAACCCCGTCTCTACTAAAAATGCAAAAAATTAGCTGGGCATAGTGCCGGGTGCCTGTAATCCTAGCTACTTGCAAGGCTGAGGCAGGAGAAACGCTTGAACCTGGGAGGTGGAGGTTGCAGTGGGCTGAGATTACACCACTGCACTCCAGCCAGGGTCACATAGTGAGACTCCGTCTCAAAAAAAAAATTATCTTCCAAATAATAGGTCCTGTGAATAAGACAGACACAGAAAATCCTTTATATCCCACAAAATATAAACTACTTTTAATTTCTAAGTGTTTTTTTTTGTGGAAATAGATAATATCTGTTCAATATACTTAGAGAATCTCATTTTTAAAATGGCAATTAGAACTTCCTTTTAAGCTAAAAGAAAACTTAAGTTCTTAAACTTTGCCCAAAAAATCTATTTTTGATCCCTTTGATTAACACAAATTGCCATTCTCTGTACTTTTCCTGGGGGAGGATAGCTAATATTTATTGAACTTTGGGTTTAAACCTGAGTTTAAATCCTAGCTCTGTGACTTTAGGCAAGTTACTTAAATTATTTGAGCTTTAGATATTCAATATTTCTCTTGTTAATCTTTAAAATACAGAAAAGAAGACCCTAACAGAGTAGGGATAAAAGAAGTTATCTTGTAGGGTTATTATATTAAATAAGATAATATACGTAAGGCCCATTATACAAAATAGGTACCCAATAATTATTATTTCTCCCCACCCTTGCCCCTTGTCTAAGGGCAGCTAGAAAGCAATACAGCCAGATTTGTTTTTAGACAAGTGTCTCTCTATATTCATACCTCATTACCTCTATATCTAGTTTTTCTACCTCTTGGTGTAAATGATAATAAAAATTTGCTGGGCGCAGTGGCTCACACCTGTAATCCCAGCACTTTGGGAGGCTGAGGCAGGTGGATCACAAGGTCAGGAGTTTGAGACCAGCCTGGCCAATATGGTGAAACCCCGCCTCTACTAAAAATACAAAAATTAGCCGGGCGTGGTGGCAGGTGCCTGCAGTCCTAGCCACTCGGGAGGCTGAGGCAGGAGAATTGCTTGAACCCGGGAGACAGAGGTTGCAGTTGGCTGAGATCGCGCCACTGCACTCCAGACTGGGCGACACAGTGAGACTCCGTCTCAAAAAAAAAAAAAAAAAAAACCCATAAAATCCTAAATAGAGTCTTTCTACTGTAGACTAGAAAAGGTTAGGAACACTATGGTATGAAATTGGGAAAAATAAGTAGAAAAAGTGAAGTCAGCCATGTTATAGGAGTCCATGGATGGTAGGTGGAAGGCTTTGAGATAGGAAGGCTGTAATAGGGGAAGAGAATATGATATATGCATTCAGTGATGGGGTTGTTGGGAAGAGTGAGTGTGCTCCATCTGCTTGTAAAATGTCATACACAATGCATTCTGACACACATGCAGCAGCTTAGGTTGCATGGTTTGTAAAACAGAAACAATAACAAGCCAAGAATAAGTGCATAATCACAAATCACCATGAATCTGACTTATGACTTTATATGGTGCCACAATTTTGAGACTATGCCACCGAACCGGTAAACAATGGTAGTGATGTTGATATGGATGGGTGGACCTTATGATAAATTTAAAAATTCTTTCCTTCTGTAGAAAAAGTGAAGTTAGGAGGTAAGATGCCATTTAAAGGACAATGAGGGTTTTGACCTAAAAGAATATGCCTAAAAAGAAATCACAGTTGAGGTTTTAAGTAGAAAAGTGCATACTATATATTACATGTATCGAGACATCACTTTGTACCCCATGAATATGGACAATTATTATTTGTCAATTAAAACTTTTAAAAAGAAAAGTACAATGCTAATAAGTGTTAGTTTAGTTTACCTCAAGTATCTCCTAGACCTATGTCTTTCTTTTCAAAATGGTGTGGCAAATAAAGATTTTGCAAGTCATTTCTTTTAAACTATTATTCTAACCTACACTTTTCCCCTCATTTAATTATAATGGCATTATGTGCTTTAAGTTGTAGTTAATTACTGCAGCATTTATAAGCTTTTCAAGAGTTTGGAAACTTAGCCGTATTTTTTATCCTCTTATAGTAAGTCTGGGAGCAAACTATTTAGCTGATTTGAGCTTCTCTTTTTCTTGCTTTCTCTGCCAACCTCTAGACTTTAATAATGAGTTGTAAGATTCAGGAAAAGAAATCTTAGAAAACCTTTTCTGTTTATAAAAGAAATAACCATTAGAAAGAAATGCAGCATTTCCACAATTTTTTGCCATGTAGAGAATAGATATGGAAAGCATCACAGACCTTGTTTCACCTACGTCATGGCTAGTCAACCTTATGGGGACTACAGGGAAGCCTGGGGGGCTATTGTTGCCTCAGGTCTAAGCCTTGCAAGCCATTGTTGTCTAAGCCACCACAGTGAACAAGGGCAGGAGATTCTCCTGTTGGAAATCCAGATTTGGGGCTGGCTTTTTTGTTTATCATCCCTGAGACAGTCAGCAAATCTGACCTCTCTGAGCCTCTGTCTTTATCTGTAGACTGGGATGCTACCATTTACCCTACCTACCTAGCAAGCTTGAAGGAGCAGTTACATACGAAAGAACTTGCTTAACAAGTGGGAGACATCATCATTAGGAAATCCAATAGCTGGCTACGCTAATGTCCTAACCCCACCCTCTTGGGATTAGTTTCACAGAAGGAGACAACTTCTGGTGTGTAAACTGTGGTTTCCATCAGCATGCACTTTGGTAATAGCCTCCCTGCAAAACTGTTGCTTGCCCTTGCTTTTTTGTTTATATTTTAGATTCTGTTTGTTTGCTGAGCCTGCTATTAATCCTTATTTTAAACCAGATTTCATTTCTGTAAGAATATTAGGCTGAGAAGCCCACTCATGAGATCAGCTATTCCAAACTCGTATCTGTCTCTCTAAACATGAGCCCAAATAATGTAGAAGATAGGACCACATAACTAATTTGAGACTTGTACTTTAACTTGATTGTGGTTTGATTAATTTGGATGAGAGCAGAAAAACTCACTAGTGTAAAATATAATGATTCTAAGTATGTTATTTTCCTAATGAATGCTTGAAGTTACTTAAGTAGTAGAAACTTAAGTTATTTAAATTTATCTTGGGCGTATTTCGTGGGGTTATATTCCAAGCTTATTATCTTCTATCACTTTATATTCTTATATAGTAACGTGAGGCTTATGTTACTTCTTCTGGCTACTACTCTTTAAACTTTTTATTTTTACCTTCTCTATGAACATTTTTACACTTAGATTCTTTGTCTTTTTTTCTGAACTGAATATAGATAGACCTGAATTTTCCTTCCTATTGTGAATATTCTCTTTGCTTCTCATTCACTATTTGAAGGACTATATAGCATAATAGTTACAAGCTGGGCTCTGGAGTTGGAGCCGCTTCTTTGCTGCATGACCTTGAGCAAGTTGTATCTTTCTGATATTTCCTTATCTATAAAATAATAATTATAGCACCTGCCTTCCTCACAGAGTTTTCGTGAGAGTAAAAATAAGGTGGTCCATAGTATACTGTCTGGCACATAGCAAGTGCTCATTGACTTCTTATCCATCAGTATTTTCATCAGATTATAAGTATTTTAGAAGTTGAGATTGTCTTTACTCCTCTCTGTTTTGCCTAGCCCCACGCATAGTACCTGGTACCTGGCGGATTCTCAGTAGATATTTCCTGAATGAATGGCAAAAGCATCTCGTTAAGTTTTATACAGACCCCTCTCTTCCTCTCCAGCCCACTGGTATCCCCCTGCTTCTGGAATTGTTCACTGGAAGTTACGAGTGTCAGAGACTGGACTTACCTAGGGTATCCTGAGATGTTGGTGATAGGCAAAAAAGATTTCATCTTTTTGATGAGACTTCATGTTCTTTTCTTGGGTGGTTGTTTAGCTCTTTTCTGGCTTTGGATTTCACACACTCAAAAAAATATGAATATCTTAACACTGGTTCCATTGGTTTCACACCTCCACAATTTGGATTCCTTGCTCCAAACTGTACTTTGGTTTTCCACAGACATTCCTCATTTCTATTTTACTCTGTTTGTTGATCTAATTAACTTTGCTGGAATATATTCTGTCCTATTTGTGGGGAATGGAGTTATTTTTGCCTTAGTTCATGGATTAGAAGGAAACTGTCACTTCATTTCTGGCATCCTTCTCTTTACCCACTTTCATTCCGCTGGAGAACGAACTTGCTAATCAGATTGTTAGAAGAAGATTTTGATTGGGACCACGTTCGTTGTATTAAAGTCTGTGCTCAGGGATGGTATACAACCTTGCCCTTTCTCACTTCCTGTGTCCAGGGTTTGCATGAAGCAGGCAGGGCCTGCCTTAGCTGGCTTCCTCATCTCAACTCTCTCTGTCCTACCTGCACCTTGGAGCTGATGGACCAGTCATCCATAATCATGCAACTGTTTGGAGGGAGGGTATAGACTTCAAGGCAGAGAGTATAAGAAATAAGAGAGTTCACTTTGGCCTCCTATCCTAAATCAATTTCTGTAATCTAGTTTTTACTAAAGTTTTTATTATTGCAATGGGTCTTTGTCTAGCTAATGAAATCAGTGTTTTGTTGACTATTTTGTCATCATTTCTTGTCTATATGCTCCTTCAGCAGAGAATCCCAGAAGTAAGATCCTAATACTAATCTCCATCCAGACCAACCTCTTTCACAAAACCTTTTCAGACAGCCATCATAAGGGTCTTTTTCTAAAACTACACTTCTTACAGTATTATGAGGTACATCCTGTTTTAATCACCCCCTATTCACCCTGCTGATGATGGAGAGATTCCTGCCCTAGCATTAGGGGAATGGTTAAACTCATGACATCTGACACTGAACAGATGTGATTGGCAGCAGTTTATTAGTCACGCATACTAACAGCCAAGGACAAGAGGACGCCATGCCATGCAGGGCCACGTGGGGATTGCACTAGAAAAGAGAATGAGGAACCAGAGGCTGTGGGAAGCAGGCTGTGTGGTATCAAGAAAATGGGATGACCCGCACTTTTCGCCGAAGGACGTGATTGGCTTATTTAAATAATTCTGTCGGCTGGTAAGGAACTGAATTTAGTGATAAGCAGGGAGGGTTGTTTGGGTAGGGAACCTTTTTCATGGGAACAGAGTTGGGGGCAAGGGAACTTCAGGAAAACCATTTGAGGCCCTCCCAATCAAGCCAGATGTCAAGGCAACACACAATATTGACCCTTAATTTTAGGGTTAACACCACACAGATTATAGTACCATGGCATCATTTGTTTATTACCTTAGAATTTTACTCTAGATGTGTGTTTGTGACTATCTTGTGTCTCAGTCAAATTGTGGGCTACTTAAGGACAGCTAGCATTTAAGTCTTCCACTTAAAAAACAATGCATGTTATGGTTTGGAAAAACATGATTATCATGAAAATGATCTGTTTTGTAATATCTCAGAGTGATACTTTGAAATGTAATCAAATGAAGAGAGCTTTAACATACCCAAGTTTTGTCCTTGCATATGGTGAATTTTTTAAATGTAGTGATACTTGTAGTACTAAAGGATGTGCAGAGTAGAAATTAAACTTGTATTAGTAGTCTGAACTCATGGCTGGCAGTGATACTTGCTTATACACGTACTGCTGAATTAAACCTCTGTGATGTGCCATGGATTGACAGCTCTGAACATTTACAGTTACCAGGGTTTGCTGACATTTGAAAATAGCTCATTTTTTTTCCCCACTCTGTTTTCAAACAATGGGTGAAACAATGAATGGAACATTGGCATTCTTTTTAAAATCCGAGTTAAGCTACAGCCTAAATACCAGAATGCTGATGTCTCAAATGTATTATGCAGACTGCATATTGTAGGCACTAATGGGACCCATTAAGATAATTCTTACTCTTGCTAAATTCAAGCAAATTGGTATGGGAGAGGGATGGTAAGGAGGTCAGAGGCAAACTGGAAGAATTTATAGTGTGTCCTCCCAATTTCTTAATAATCTAATATTAAATCCTTTCTTCATCTCAACCATTAATTTTATTTTCTACTTTATTAAAATATTTGTTAAATTGTATGCAACCACAAACCCAAAGATGTCTTTTTTAAAATTATGATATACAATTAGATGAATGAGTGAAAGTTTCAACATTTTAACTTATTTTTATATTTTCAGAGTATAAATCCATGATGTCTCTGAGATAGAATATCTTTTCTTGCATTTTTTACAAATAATCCTATCTAGATCCATCACAGTGCAAAAGAAATATTGTTGTAAAGAAACTACTGATTTTATTCTAATGTGAAAACTCAAAGCTGATTTACTTAAATGAAAATGAGGTTTCTGGCTGGGTGTGGTGTCTCATGCCTTGGTAGGCTGAGGCAGGAGGATGGCTTGAAGCCAGGAGTTTGAGATTAGCCTGGACAACATGCCTCTTCTCTACCAAAAAAAGAAAAAAGAACTTAAAAAAAATGAAGTTTCCGTTGCAAGACTCTTTGTTGGCATAAAAATATCCAGAGATAAACACTATAAGGATTAAGTGCTAATTCAGTTTCTACACTATTAAAGTTTAATTCTAAAATTTTCTGGTAAAATCACGACTTATTTCAAATTAGGAATTAGAAATATAATGCATAATTTTAAATAAGCTTTTTCATATTATAAAAGGAATGCATAAATACAGATAGATATAAAGCAAAATTCTACCAGTTGGAGACAATCACCATCCAATTTCAATGGATTTGCTTCCATTTCCCACCATCAGTCTATAGCTGTGCTTTCTTATATTGTAGTCACTAGCCACATGCAACTGTTTATGTTTAAATTAATTAAAATTAAATACAACAAAAAATTTCGGTCACATTTCAAGGGCTTAATAGCCACCTGTGGCTAGTGGCAATGGTATTAGCCCAAATATAAAACATTTTTTATTATTACAGAAAGCTCTATTGGTAGAGCTATTTAGAGGTATACTTATACCTAGACTATATCCATATGAAACATAATTCTATGTACATATATGGAATTCTTTCTATGTATTCTATATCCTATGTAATATACATTTTTATGCATATATGTAACACTACATGTACACACAAAACTATATGCAAAAAGCTGCAGAGAGTAAAACTATATATAGTTTCCATGAAGACTCACATATACACACTTTTGTTTTCTGCTTTTTCTCAAAATACACAGGCTTATAATACCAGATTTTGGTTTGCCAAAAATGTCTTCATTCTTTTTTTCTCTCTCATTTTAAAAAGACAGTTCTGGTTGATAGTTACTCTATATTAAGATCTTGAAGATATTATTCCACTTTTTTCTGGCTTCCATTGTTGCTGTTGAACAGTCAGCTATAAAACCAATTGCTGTTTGGTGATCTATCTTTTCTCTCTGGCTGCTTTTAAATATTTCACCTTTGTTATTTAAACTCTACAATTTTATTATAACATGTTCATGAATTTTAAAAGTGTTGTCTTGGAATATGTTGTGCTCTCTGTGTAGACTCTAGTTTTTTGGGTCAGTTTTGCAGAATTTTCTGTCATCACCATGATTACTTATCCTCTTTCTTCCCTTTAATTCTTAGAATTTGATAAGACATTTTTAAGACTTTTCCTTCTATCTTCTGTGTCTCTACTTTCTTTCAATTTTTCAGTGTTTATATAGTATTTTGGCAATTTTCATAAATTTGTTTTCAGCTCACTAATATTCTCTTTGGCTGTATCTAATCTACTGTTTAACATGATGTCTAAGTTTATAACTTTAGCATTTATGTTTTTTGAAACATTTAAAACATTTTATTTGGTTCTTTTTCAAATCTGCCTGACCACTTCAAAAAAAAAAAAATCAAACATTATTGAGGTAGAATTCACATACAATAAAATGTACCTATTTTAAGATTATAAGTTAATGAATTTTGACAAATATATATGTGTATCCACACAAACTCACACACCTACCTGTGTAAACTTCACCTAAATCCAGATATAGAACATAGCTTTTTTAAAAGTCATTGCTCTAAGGCTTACAATGTGGAAATTTAACTTATAGTCTACCTTCAAATTATACTACTTTATGTATAGTGCAAGACCCTTACACAGAATACTTAGATTTCTCCCTCGTATCATTTGCAGTATTATTGTCATGCATACTGCTTTTGTATGTATTATAAGCCCATCAATAAATGGCTGTTATTTTTGTTGTGAGGAGTCTACTGTCTTAAATTTTCTTTAATGAGAAGAAAATGTCTTCTTAATTTATTCCCATATGTACCCTTTCTAGTACTCTTTATTTCTTTACGTAAATCTGAGTTTCCATCTGGTGTCATTTCCCCTCAATTGAAAGAACTTCATATAACATTTCTTGTGCAGCTCTGCTGACAATTTTTTCCAAATTTGGTTTATCTGATAAAGTTTAAATTTTGTCTTCATTTTCATATCTCAATGGATATAGAATTCTACATTGCTAGTTTTCAGTTTTTTCATTCAGAAATTTAACGCTAGATACTTTTAATATTCTTTAGAATCCAGATTTTAAAAAAATCTTTCTGTAAAGAATGTTGTGCTTTGTTTTGGCCAGCAGTTACCAATTAATCAGTATGATACCTTAAAGTGCTATTTTTCATCTTTCCTAGGGTGGATCTAGAATGGTCACTGAGCACTATCTACTTCTGGCTTGAACTTCTCTTAGCTCCATGTTAGCTGTGAGATTTTCTTCTTTTTACAGTTCTCCAGGCATTCTTTGCACAACTTTGTGGAATTTCAGTCTACATACGCATGGCTAATATGCAGGAAAGACTCAAAAGAACCCCTGTGTATATTTCTGAAGCTTTTTTTTTCTGTGTAGCTTCTTTCCTTCTGGCATTCTAACCGGCAATTTTCAGCTGCCATTGTCTCTTTAAACACCATTTTCTGTCTCTTCAGCAACATCTCCAGGCACTGTTTGGATTCTCCTTTCTTGCTCCTGCAGTTTGGAGGCACTGTTTTAATTCTCCTTTCCTGCTCCTGCCGTTTGGAAATTGCCTGTATCCAGAAAACTAGGGCAATTGTAGGGCTCTTTATTTTGTTTCCCTTTTCTCAAGGACCGCAGTCTTGCGCTAGCTGTTGTCCTGTGTCCAAAAACAATTGTTCCATGTATTTTGTTGAACATTCTAGTTATTTACCATAGAAGATTAAGTCCAGGGTTTGTCACTATATTATGGATGATAGTCATTTTTGTCACTTTCAAATCTGTTTATTGTAATCAGCATATGCTTGGATTATGTGAGGAATTATTATAGGATAACTTTAACCATTGCTAATTTATCATGAATATGGGGTCTGACTTCTGTCATCTTAGCTTAAGCTCTTGGAGGAATATTTCTTTTATTTAATTCAACAAATACTAATGATCATTCCCTATGCTCATGCACTGTTACCAGTGTTACAGATGTAGCAAGGTGCACTCTTATAAAAATTTCTGCCGCAGTGTAGCTTACGTTGGAATGAAAGACAAAGAAGTAAAACATATTCATCAGATGGTGATATGTACCATGGAGAAACTAAAGGAGAAAAGTAGATAGGGAGTTTGGGGAGTATATGTTTGACAATTTAAATAGGGTGATCAGGGCAGGACTTGCTGATAAAGTGACATTCACCCAAAGACCAGAAGGAAGTGGAGGAGTGATATCTGTGGATATCCGGGAGAAGAGCATGTAAGTGAGAGAAAAAAATAAGTGGAAAGGCCTAAGAGCAGAGCTTGCTTGAGATGGTCAAGGAAGGACAAGGATTTCCATGTGGCTGGAGCAGAGTCAGCAAGAGAGAGAGTAGAAGGAGATGGGGCCAAAGACATAAGGGGAGGCCAGATTGTGCATGGCCTGGTAGGCCATTGTAATGATTTTGGCTTTTACTGAGAGTAAAATAGATTGCACTGAGAAGGTTTTGAGCTGGGGTGTGGCATGATCTGGTTTCTGTTTTAACAGCATCACATGTGTGCTGTGTTGAATAGACGGAAGAAGGGCAGAGGCAGAGGCAAGGGGTTTAGTTAGAAGGCTGTGACAGTAATGATGGTGATGGGGTCAGTGCTGCCACCTTAGAGGTAATCAGAAATGGTTAGAGTCAACATAACTTTGTATTATAAAAATATTAACATAAAAGAATAGGGAATAGTCTAATGAATCCCCATGTACCCACTTTAGAACATGAGTTGTCAACTCATGTTCAATCTTGTTTCATCTATACCTCCATCTATCTTCCCTCCCGTTCTCCTCCCAACTCTTCCCCCTACCCCACTGGATTACTTTTAAGCAAATCCTGGACATTTGAAGATAGAGACAACAGGGGCATGAATGCAAGAGAAAGGTAAAGATACCTTCAAAATTTTTGCCTTGAACATCTCAAAAGTTGGGGTGTTCACAATAAACTGAAGTGGAGAAGTCTGTGGGAGGGGCCATCAGCTGAGGGTGGAAGATTGTGGGCGGGTCCGTCAGCTGAGGTGGGAAGATTGTGGGAGGGTCCGTCAGCTGAGGTGGGAAGATTGTGGGAGGGGCCGTCAGCTGAGGTGGGGGGCAGCAGGAGGGACCATTAGCTGAGGTGGGAAGATTGTGGGAGGGGCCATCAGCTGAGGTGGGCTGTCACGGGCCGTTACTCAGCGAGGTCTGTGGGAGGGGCCATCAGCTTAGGAGGGAAGTGCGCCATAGTTTAGAACATTGAAATTTGAGATGCCTGTTAGATGTTCAATTGGAAATGTTGAGTACGGTGTTGGTTAAATGAATCTGGAGTCGAGAGAATAAGCTTAAGTGGTAGAAGTAAAGTTTAGGGTTGTCAACATGCACGTGGTATTTAAAGTTATGAGGTGGATAATATTGCCAAAGGCATGAATATAGGTGAAGGAGAGAGCACGTCTGGAGCCTTGAGCTCTGTGGCTCTCCAACATTACGAAGTTAGAGATGAGGAGAAATCACCAGAAAAGACTAAAAAGATGCGAATACTGAGGAAAGCGGAACCCCAAGAAAGTGTGATGTCCAAGAAGCCAAGTGAAAAAAGTGCTGATAGGTTTAAGTAAGAGGAGGACAGACAACTGGTCAGCGGAGTTAGCAGCCGTGAAATGAAATTGTTAGGGAAGAGGAAGCTGGTAGACTGGTGGGTGTGGGAGAGCAAAAGCATGATGGGAAACAGGTTCAAGGAGAATGGAGGAGTTAGACCACAGCAAGTGTAGACAGCTTTTTTGAGGATTTCATCTGTAAAAGAAGAAATATGTCGCCGTAGCCAGATGGGCCAAGACACGGAGAAATAATAGCATGTTTGAGGGGAGAGAGGCATTCAGTAGGAAACAAAAACTGATGATGGAGGAGTGATGGGGAGACTGCTGGAGCAGAGTCCTTGAGGTTATGGGATCCAGGCATTGCCTTAATTAGGATCATAAATAATTCATCTATGGTAATAAGATGGTAGAGGAAGAACTGAGGTACAGATGGAGGTAGGTGGGTAGATGCAATGCTCGGTGCTCATGGAAGTTCTTTCGGATGGAAGTAGAAAGTAAGGTCACGTCGAGTCAAGGAGAGGGTATGGAGATTTGAGGAGTGAGGAGCAAGCATGAAATGGCAGTCTAAAAGGGCAGGGAGTGAATGGATTAGAGAAAGTTACTGGGCAGAAGTTAGGTTCCTCTTGAGGTGGAATGCCTAGAGCATTTTTGTTTATACTGTATAATTTAATACTGTACTGTTTACTTTATGGCCATATACTTTATTTTTCTTTTGTTTTGTTTCTTGAGATGAAGTCTTGTTCTGTCGCCCAGCCTGGAGTGCAGTGGCACGATCTCAGCTCACTGCAATCTCCACCTCCCAGGTTCAAGCCATTCTCCTGACCTGGCCTCCTGGGTAGCTGGGACTAAAGGCTCCCACCTCCATGCCCAGCTAATTTTTATATTTTTAGTAGAGACGGGGTTTCACCACATTGGCCAGGCTGGTCTTGAACTCCTGACCTCAGGTGAGCCATGCGTCTCAGCCTCCCAAAGTGTTGGGATTCAGGCATAAGCCACCGTGCCCAGCCTTGCGGCCATATACTTTAACTCAAGAAAATTTCTCTTCTGTCATAGCTGGTTTTTCCTTCTGTTTCAGTTATCCTGACTTTTTCCCCAGGAACTTCTATCATTGATTTATTGGTGCTTTAGATATGTACTCTGTCTTCCAAATTATCTCCTCTCACACTTTTATTTCTTGTTCCTTCATCTACTCTCCTGATGAGCTTTTAAAATTTATTCTCGACACCATTGTTTTCTAAGCCTGCCTGATTGTCAAAGTCATTTGGGGCTTTTTTTTTTAAAAAAAAATAACATTTAGATTTAGAGACAAAAATCATGGAGGATCCTTATTCATTAGGTCTAGGGTGGGGTTTGGTAAGAAGTATATTTAAAATGCTCCCCAGATAATTCTGAAACCAGCTGGGTTTGGCAGCCACAGCTCTATATACACTAATTCAATTTATCAGTTGCTAATTCCAGAATGGGTTGTAATTCTGTTCTCTTTAGTATTTTCCACAGTTTGTCTTTAAGTGTGTGTGTGTGTTGCCTGTTCTTCAGACTATGATCTTTACATCTCAGCTAATATTCCTTCATCTTTATATTTTATTTTAACCTGCACGTTTTCTTTCTAAAGGCTGCCTTCTCTTGTTTCACAGAGATCAACTTTTATTGTATGCATTTCAGGATATACAATGGACATCAGCAGGTGTTTCCTGAAATATTTTTTGTGTAGTAATTTTTAGAGGTATGTACTTCCTCTGATTTTAAAACATAATGCACCCTTTACCTTGGGCTGTATAGCGCTTTTTGTGAATTGCAAGGCTGGCTTTTGTTTCCTGTTTCTTCATTTTTTAATGAGGAGACTGGTGATACACTGACATTTGCCAATAGAGAGTATTCCTCAGGTCTAACACCTTAGAATGGTCTATCTACTGTAATCCAGTGTTTAGGGTTTGTTTTTTTTTTTTTTTTTTTTTTTTTTTGCTATGAGATTTCTAGGAGCCTTAACATTTGTTTAAAAAAAACTATGAAATACACATACAAAAAATGTATAAAATATTTTGTAGAGTTTAAATAATTATAAAGTGAACCCCTATGGAGCTACCATTCAAGTGGAGAAAAGTAAGACCACCAGCTAGTTGAGGAAGCCTTCATGTACCTGTCCTGGAACACAACCCCTTTCCCCTAACCCAGAATAACCATTATCCTTGTTTTGTGATAATCACCCCCTTGCTTTTGTTTATAGTTCTGTTATTGCTGTTAGCATCTCTCAATGCAATTTCTAGCATGCTCTGCCACTGAGGCTCTTTTCTTTGCCTCCAGTTCCATGCTTTGAAAAAAGGGACTACCCGCTATGCCAGTACCTGTGACCTTCTCATTCCTATGTGCTGTGACTTATGAGTCATGTTAGCCCACTCAGTGGAGAAGGAGGGGTAGTTGGGATGTGGGAAAAGAGAGAATGGTTGATTCTTCTTTTGCTGCCTCAGAAAATCATCCCTGAGGAGTAGAATGATTTCTGCTCCATTTTTTTTTTCTGGTTGATGTAATATTACGCAGTGTCTGCTCACTTTGTCAGTGTCCTGGTTAACCGTTGCAGGCATATTTTTAATGCAGATTAATCTGCACTGAATTTGGTAGAAATTCTGCCTTGATGTTAACAAATGATGAAATGACTATGATTCTTGCTCTTTATAATTGTTTTGAAATAACACTAAATTTTCAATACAATAAATCTCCTGCACCTTCTCATTTTCTCTAGGTGTCTTCTAATTTTTGTAGAAAATGGGAATGAGAGAGAAAAAGCTATACTACAGGCTTGTATTCACTGCTACTTGCAAAGTCCATTTTGCCAACATGGAAAATAACACTAATCAAAGAAAAATGTAGTTTGAGGATGAAAGAAGGACCTTGAACATCCAACCAAAAATGTATACTGATATTTCCAGCAGAGAATAAAGCATAAGTCAGGCTCTCTAAAAGGCAAATAAAAAACACCCTATTTCTATAGAAAAACCAGCTAAAGAGATCACACAGTGACTAGAATTTTTAATTCTAAAATTTAAAATTTTTTCAGATGTCAGTTTTATTCAAAACCATTTGAACCAGTTAAGAAAAAGAAAAGTAGTTCTTATGTATGATTCTAAATGTTAGGTTAACATCTCCAAGACATGCTTATAAAAACACTTTTTAATTAACCCACAAATTATATATGTGTATTTCCTCTTGCACTTTTTTAAATCACAGTAAGATAAGAATAGGAATGAAAGACAACAGAAAATTAATTTCAGAAATATTTTAGCTGACAGGGCATGGCAGCTCATACCTATAATCCCAGCACTTTGGGAAGCCAAGACAGGAGAATTGCTTGAGGCCAGGAGTTTGAGACCAGCCTGGGCAACATAGCAAGACACTGTCTCTACAAAAAAACTTAAAAAGAAGTAGGCTGGATTACTGGTGGCACCTGTAGTCCCAGCTACTCAGGAGGCTTAGGCAGGAGGGCTATTTGAGCCCAGGAGGTTGAGGCTGCAGTGAGCCCTTACTATGTCACTGTACTCCAGCTTGGGTGACAGACAAAAAACAAAACAAAACAGATTTTAACCACCTTAGCCACCGTGCACCTTTATGGAAGCCATTATGAAGAAGAATTTTTTTCCAATAGTACTTTTCATGAATTATGCATGTTTTCAACAGAAATAGCTTAAGGTTAAGTATACATACCACATGGGCTTGACAGAAGTAATCAAGAGAATAGGAACTGCATTTGAGTTTAGCATTTATAGACATTTAGAAAAGAAGACCCTAGATCTAAATTCAGTGTCTTTGTGTTTTTTTTTTTTTATTTCTTTGAGGCAGAATTCTTCTCCAAAGATGTCTTATGGACAATCCTAATGTATGGAAGAGATGGGGGTGGAGCTGCTCTGATTAGAGCAGGGATCAGGGCCCTGGGCCAAGGTCAAATTGCCTCTCTTTCTGACTGCCTTTCTGTAGTCCTCCTAGTACCACCCCGTGGAAGTCCTGTGGCTCAGTGGAATCCTGTACAAAATCCTGATTTAGTCTAACTTCTTGACTTTGCAGTTGAGGAAACTGAGACACACAGGTAATCGGTGGATGGCCTGGGCCAGAATGCAGGTCTTCTTCCTAGAGCAGAGCATTGTCTACTATACCATGCTGCCTGTTTTCAGCTCCTGAAATTAGTTCCAGACATTAAAATGTTTCCTTTTAACCAAATAGAGAACATTTTTTTATCAACAGAAACCAAGGAGAGTTACTGTATAAATACATTTGTGGCCTGTATACTTTCAAATACAAGCTAATTTTTTGAAGTGAATTCTGTTTTTCTGTTGTCCCTAATTATGAGTTTACTGATATATGCTTTTGAAAAATTCCTTCAGTAGACAAAGTTAAAAATACTTAGTCATAAAAAATAGTGACCAGCTTGCAGCAAAGTCAAACTAACCGATACTGCTGCCTGTCTCCACCCACTGCCTGTTCGTGCCTTCTTCAGTGTTTTCTGCCCTTCTACCGTGAGGTGCTATGCCGCATTCTTCAGGCATGAGGGTACTCTCTGAACTTAAAGATTCCCACTACCAGATGAAACTTGCATTGCTTCTCCTCAACCTGAGAGGCCCACACCCTTCCTCAGATAAAAATCTCACTTCTCTCCTACACCCCTGTCGTTCCTCCTACACCACCGTTGTTCCTATGTGCCCCACCAGTAAAGAGCCTTTTTTTTTTTTTTCACATTCTCTCCAGCCAAGGAGATTCTACTGAACTTCCTGAGTTTAAAAAATCAGCATGTTGGCCAGGCGCAGTGGCTCACGCCTGTAATCCCAGCACTTTGGGAGACCGAGGTGGGTGGATCACGAGGTCAAGAGATCGAGACCATCCTGGCCAACATGGTGAAACCTCATCTCTACTAAAAATACAAAAATTAGCTGGGCATGGTGGTGCGCATAGTCCCAGCTACTTGGGAGACTGAGGCAGGAGAAGCGCTTGAACCCGGGAGTTGGAGGTTGCAGTGAGCCGAGATCACACCACTGCACTCCAGCCTGGCAACAGAGCGAGACTGTCTCAAAAAAAAAAAAAAAAAAAAAAAAAAAAAAAAGGCCGGGCACGGTAGTGGCTCACTGAGCGCCTGTAATCCCAGCACTTTGGAAGGCTGAGGCAGGGGGATCGCTCGAGTCTAGGAGTTTGAGACCAGCCTGGGCAACATAGTGAGACCTCGTCTCTACAAAAAAAATTAGCCAGTGTGGTGGCATGCACCTGTAGTCCTAGCTTCTTGGGAGGCAGAGGTGAGAGGATCACTTGAGTCCAGGAAGTCGAGGCTGCAGTGAACAAATATCATGCCACTGCACTCCAGCCTGGGCAACAGAGCAAGACCCTGTCTCAAAAACAAAAAGATAGATATTTTTGTATAAGTGTGAAAAATAATATGATTTTAGAAATCACACTTCTCCCCTAATTCTGATATGTTGCATCTTGAGGGGAACAGCATGGGCACATGGAGTGTTGAGATCGCAGGTTGATAGTCACTGAAATGTAGGTATCCAGTTTTTGCTTAATTTTTTCTTGGTTTCTAAAATGTCTAATTCTGATACAAATAAATGTATCAAAATTTGTTACCTAAAATGTATGTAAATTAAAAATTCACTGTGTAAATTCAACATGAAATTTGACAAGTTTACCGTTGAGATGTGTTACCTGGTCCCCATAACATATTTTTATATTGCTTTATCCTGATTTCTCTTGCTTTCTACCCACTCCTGAACACCTATTTTTCAATCATTATCTACATTTTTCATCAAGTAATAGAATTTAGTTATGTACTAATCATTAAGCAATCTTGACTAGTGTGATTCACTTTGTGCAGTTAGAAGATTGTTCTAGTGAAGTGTGATTTTCTTATGAAGAAAGCTGGGAAGGGAGCTACCAAAGGATATCAGGATAATAAGAAGTAACATATTGGTGTCACTTCTGAGATCATACATTTTTTTCAATCACTTAGCCTTTCTATGTGTGGAGAGATAGAGGTTTTGTTTTCAAACTTGTGGGTGAAAAAAATGTCTATTTTATTTTCTCCAAATCAAAGCGAGCCTGCTTCAAGCCTCATCCTGTCTGGAGGTGGATATCTTAGTCATCCCTGGTGCTTTGTTCCCTCTCTCAGAAGCAGCATGCAAAGGGTTATATGCAGAGAAAACATTAAGGAAATACCTCTCGGTGTCCAGCGCATACCAATTGCTATGATCACTGTTCAAACCACCATGGTCCCTTGTAACCACCCTGGTGTTTGTAGGATGCTTTGAAGCATTTTTGGGGACAGGAATCCTGCTAATGCTGGAAGCCCCTGGGCCTGGGATCTAGCTTCTCTGGGAACTACAGCTGCTTCCCTTTCAGGTTTAGCTATAGGTAGAGGTGCCACTGGGGAGAAAGGTGCAGGTCTCCATGACTTGGGTAATCCACAGCCTTTGGTTCCTTTCCAAAGTCTTGGATAATCTCCTTGTCTTCTTTGGCTCTCACAACTTCTGCTTCTCTTTTACCCCCTAAAAGCCCAGCATTTGTCTTTCTCCTCAACTCACAGGATAATGCCCTCTTTAAAATGAAATTTTGGAAGAAAGGTTGTCTTCAGGGGGATCTGGCACCCAAAGCTTCCCCTGAAATAAGGGAACACAAAGACTTGTCAACCTTTCTTGAATCAGGAGTGGGGAAACAGAAGGAGAGCAAAATCCAAAAGAACATCTCAATAGCTTCTCCTGCGTGACATTTGAAACATGTAATACTTAACATGATGATGGTATTAGAATAATAGGAAAGTTCTTTAGTCCTTTATTTGGAAAGTCATTCCCTAATGTTGTGTTGTTTTATATACATTTGATAACAATATTATCATCAAGGAGTTAACCTTTCCAATGAACAAACTCACCCCCGCCCCCTTCATCTCTCCTCATTTCTTATCTTGCATAGGTAGAAGAGAAAGAGGCCTGCATTCGTTCTCCAGGCCATGGAGGATAGCAATAGAGATTTGTTCCTTAGATAGAATAGTAGTTTTCAAAGTGTACTAGCAAGGTATTTGAAACTGTCCAAGTAGAGAAAGGGACACCAAGTATGCAAGGCTCTGGGGACGCCCATCTCCACTTTATTTTCACCAGCTGTGCTTTGTTTTTGCTTTTTTTAAAAACTTACGTATTCAATTCTATATAAAATTTTGGTTTAAGGAAGGATTCCATTGATATAAAAAGTTTGAAAATCATGGAATATGTGCAAGTATATGCCTACAACACTTGAAATTCCCCAGTGTTTTTCATTAAAGGTCTTCCTTTTTTAACATTATCATTTTATGCTATAGAAAAAACCTTCCCCTTTAAATTCTCCATTGCTTTATCAGTTACATGTGAAGCTTCCCAAGAGATAGGCCAAGTTTAGGGGACAGTATTGTATGGATTCATTTAGACTCTCGGTTTCTTTTCTGGTTAATAGGACATCTATTGTGGGTGGTGGTTGAAAATCTTGCTGCTTGCTATACTGAAATTGCGAGTTCTTGTTAGCCACCATCATTCAGCCTGAATGTTCACTGCACACAACAATATAGAAGGCATTAAAGTAGCTCCAACCAAATAATGTTCACATTAACCAGAATTTTAAAACTCTTTGTTGATAATATTTTATGGTTATATTGATCATCACATTTATTTCTAATCACTGGTTCTTTTTGAAGAGTTTAATAACAAATAACCGTAGTAACAAATTATTCAGAGGATTTTATAATTCAACATAGACAACAGTATATGAAAATAATTTTTAAATGGTTAACTTTATTTGATGTCTCGCCAAATAACATATATATGCTGTAATGTTCATTGAAATTAAAGATTCCATGAGACAAGTTTAAATTAAATGTTCACACTAAATATTTTGTAATGACATTTTAATCTTAGAATACTATATTTTTGCTTGTTGAAAACATAGTTGAGTAAAATTATTTCAGTGTCAGACATTTTTAGTAGCACGTACAGTCGCTTAGCTTTCAGAACAGAAAGTTCCTTTTCACCCTACTCTGCTACTATTATTCTAGTATACATAGTCTTAAGAACATACAGTATCTATTGTTCAGTGTGTTACAATTTTTCTCTTCTATTAGTATCTAATACTAAAATTAGAGTATTCAAGCTTAGAGATGGTTTTTTCATTAGAAAAGTTTGTGCGGTCAATGCGAGAACTAGGGCTTCCAACCTTGCTCAGCCAGGACTTCCTATAAAAAAACAGATAAATAAATAAAATTAGCATACAAAGTATACATGGATCAGCTAAAATGAGCCCACAGTAGGTATTAATGGGAGTTTACCTTTACTAAGTAATTTTTGCATATATGTGATATTTAAATTTGTTTACATTGTATATATCACTCTAAGAATACCACAGAGTATAATGTATAATTAAATACAGATGAAGAAAATCTAATAAATTAAGCACAGTCAATTCCTGATGATTTTATATTAGGGTTATCTCCCCCACCCGCCAACTTAAAACACTCCAAGGCCACTGTTACCTGGCTCTTATACTCAAAACGATCAAAATATTTTTATAAGGAGCTTAGTAATAAAAACAATTCACTATTGTTTCCTCATTACTCAGCACGTGGTAGATGTTTCATGTATTTATGTGTATATAGAGAGATACATATATCTCTACACACACACACACACACACACACACACACAGACATATATATAATGAAAGAGATCCATACTTAAAGAATAAAGAAGAAACATAATTTTTGAAAAATATTAAGAAAAAATGCTCATCTACTTTTATCTATTCAAATACTGTTTCTTACCACATATATTAACAAAGTGATTGCATTAAAGGACAAGTTGAATGCTCTGAAATATTTTTCTTCTTATTTAGTGCAATGGTTTATCTTATTAGTGATATCCACACATCTAATTTATGCATTAGGTCACTTACCCAAGATATTTCCTATATAGTTCAGGCCTATTGTATATTGCTGACATCTCAGATAACACTGAGGATTTTCCAGAATCTTTCTACCTATTACTAATTAGCTGGGACTTTAGGTTTATAAAACAAGGCTGTTTTATACAAATGATGGCTGTTATCTCAGTTGCTGTTGTAGAAACATCCTATGAGTTTCCTCATATCCCCAAATTATTTCAGGTTGTGAAGCTAGGGCTGTAGACAGCTATGCAGTATGATATGTGACAATCTTATATAACTTTAGATTTAAAATATTTTCTAGGTTAGCTGAAAATTACTTTTATAGAGAAGAATTCCAATGATTCAAATTGCTATTGTGCTTTTTAACCCTTTATTTGGATCTTATCTGTGACAGTTTTACTGGGTGAGATTAGTTTGGACTTCTTTCTCTTTAGCTCATTTAGGTAAAACCTTTAAAATGAAAATTTCATGTGTTGAAGAAAAAACTCAGTTCTTATGAAAAGGAACTGATAGCTTCAACTTTACTAGCCACGTCTTCTTGAAACCTCCTAGAAAACTGACGCCACAAATAATAATGAAAGCTAAAATTTATTAAGCACTAACAACTTTTTTTTTGGAGGGGGGAGGGTGCAGACAGGGTCTCACTCTGTCACCCAGGCTGGAGTGCAGTGGCATGATCATGGCTCACTGCAGCCTTGACCTTCAGGGCTCAAGTAATCCACCAGCCTCAGTACCCCAGGTAGCTGGGACTACAGGCACGCACCATCACACCTGGCTAATTTTTTTGAATTTTAGTAGAGACAAGATCTCACCATGTTGCCTAGGCTGGTCTCCTGGCCTCAAGCAATCCTCCCTCCTCAGCCTCCCAAAGTGCTTGGATGACAGGTGTGAGCCACCATGACTGGCCAAGCACTAACAATTTGTTCGGCACTATGCTAAGTTCTTTACATGTCTTATCTTTTATTCCACACAAGAACCCTGTAAGTCATAGGCTATTATTGCCCCCAGTTATTGATGAGAAAAGAGAGACACTTAAGAGATAGTAACTTGCACAGGGTGGTTAGCAGAGTGGTTGTCAGGAGGATTCAGATTCTGAGTATATTTTGAAGGTATAGTAAAAGTAGATTTGCTGACAGATTGAATGTGGGTGTGAGAAAAGGAGAGGAGTGAAGGATGACACCAGAGTTTTTGGTGTGAGTAACTAGTTGGATAGGGTTGTCATTTACTGAAATGGAGAGACTGTGAGAGGAGCAGATTTTGGGGGAAGGGGAAGATCAGAGGCTCAGTTTTGGAATGTTACATTTGAGATGTCTGTTAGACATCCAAAGCGAGATGGTGAGTAGGCAGTTGGACCTATGAGTCTGGTTAGAGGATATAAAATTTGGAATTTGTCAGCAGATAGAAAGTATCGAAAGTTATAAGATTGGCTGGGATCATCAAGAAAATGAATCTAGATAGAAAAGATAGGTCCAATGACTGTACTTTGGGGGTTCTCCAATGTGAAGTGCTCAGGAAGCAGAGGAAGAACCAGGAAAGGCAGAGAAGGAAGCATCCAGTGAGGTATGAGGAAAAACTGGTGCCCAGGGAGCCCAATCAAGCCCTCAGGAAGTAGAGAGGGATCCACCAGGCCAATGCTGCTGGCAGGGCCAGTGAGGTGAGAAATGAGAACTGGCCATTGTGTTTAGCAACGTCGATGTCACCTGTGACTTTGGCAGGAGCAGGAGCAGTTGTGGTGGCATGAAAACCATATTTGAATGGGCTCAAGAGAATGAAAAGGGAGAAATTGAAACCATGGAATCCAAGACTAGGGCTACTGGGCATAGGAACTGGGCAACGACTAATCCACCTGAGCTGATAACTCAATGTATTGACCTAGTTGAGATACCTGCCTGTATCTTGTCCTCAACATCATCAGGGACTTCTTCCCCAGCCAAAAGTATGGCCTGGGAGGAATCTATGCCACTGATGGGGCAGATGGTCATGGTGTTGGGAGACTGAGCTCTGTTTACCCTGTGGGGAGGATGGCCACTTTGTGTCATGGCTCCATATATGCTTCCCCTGTTGCTAGGAACCACCCTGCCTGATCTGCCTCCTCAGCTAGGAGTGTTCTGGTCACCTGTCACTTGGCAGGCCCTGAGACCTGACTCTCAAGTGCTGTTTTTGCAGTCAGTCTTTGGTAAGTGTGGCTGAGGTCTAAAGATGGCAGAACTAAGAGTTCTCCAAGCAAAAAAATAGTCACAAAATTTCACAAAATTTATGTCTAATGAGAAAGAGTGTGAAATATATGTATGTACGTGTATATGTATACATATACAAACACGTGTGTATGTATACATATATATAAAATCACTCACCCTTAGTGTCAGAGCCACATAATCAAACAGTACTAGTTATTACAATTCAGTAAATATTTAAGTAGGACTTTACGCAAGTCATTCTAGATACTGGAGGGCATACATAGAGATTTAAAATGGAATTCCTTTCCTCAGTAACTTACATTCCAATAGAAGAGTTTGGAAAATAATAAAAATGGCCATAATGTTAAGGCAGAATATGATAGGCAATGTGATTTATATTATATAAAGGGAGAAGGGAATTGGGGGGTTAACTCTGGTCAAGGTACTCAGAGACATCTTTGTGAGAGCAATGACATTTGAGCTAAGTTTTAAGGAAGACATTAGTGTTTTGGTTTTTTTCCCCAAATCTTAGAATGGGAAATGCCAATTTAAGCCTGACAGAAAACCAAGAAGCACAGGAAAAATGTTGGTAATGTTAGCAAATTTAAAAAATGCAAAACATTTGAATGGCCAGAAGAAAGTCTTAAAGCCAAACAAACAGCAAACTGAAACAACTTATTTGCAACTTTCTTACTATACAAATGGTACTTGAAAATTAATATACGTATGGCATATGGTATATTACCAATATGTATGGCCGTGCAATAGAAAAATGGGCAAATAACACAAGCAAATGAAAGGGAAAGGAATATAAATAGCCAGTAAGTAATGTGTAAAAACATTCTCACTCATACTCATAATTTTTAAAAATACAAATAAAGCAAGAATAAGCCACCATCTGTCACTTATGGAATGGGAAGATTTAAAAGCTTGATAATATCCAGTAGTGGCAATTAGGGTGTAGGAAAAGAGGCACTTTTCTACATTGGTAATGGGAGTGCAAAATTGTACAGCTTTTTGAAAGGGCAACTTGGTACTACCTAACAAATTATTAAAAGTCCTTGTCTTACAAACATACTGTCATAAGGAGGGTACCCTGGGATACAGGCTCTGAGATGATTAGCATGCAGGAAGTTAATTAGGGAGTGCTGTCACATTTAACAATTTGTGGAAAGCGAGGAAAGGAAAGGAGACAAGATTGGACTAAGGGAGAAGCTGGGCAATGATGCAGTCTCAATGAAGACCTTAGCCAAGACTTAAGGAGCTCTGAAACTGGGAAGACCCTTCACAGTTGTCTCAAGGTGAGAGGGCTGGTCTTTATATTCCCCACATTAACCCAGTTGTTAGAGGAGAGCTGCCCAGGGAAGAATACATGAACTCTAGTGAGGTGACTTTCTTCTGCTGAGGCAATTCCTGAAGAAGGCTGATGGCTAAGGGCCATCTTCCAGCAGCATTCCTGGCTTCTGGGGGACTGAATCCTTCAATCTTGAAAGGGAATCTGAGTGGTAGATCAGTGTCCACTACACATACTCTCATAAGTAGGCAAAGGGAATGAATTGAAGATTCGAGCAAAGGAGTGGTAATTGATGGAACAAGGCCCAGAGCTGTCAGAAGAAACAGGATCAAGAGATGAGTGGACTCATTAGGTATAGAAAAGAGGACATATTTTCTCTGTATGGAAGAGAAGACAGTGGATTTTAAAAATTGGAGAGCAATTTGGATAGGGAGAGGCATTCACATGAGATAGCTTTCATTTTCTCAGTGTGAGGGAGGTAAGGTAATTTAATGAGAATAAGTGGGGTGGAGGAAGAGTTGAGGGATTGAATAAAGTGAAAAGGTGTAATAATCACTAAAGGAGTTGACAAATGTTAAAGGAATTGTGAAAGAGCATTGAGGACCCTTAAAGTTAGTCTAGATGGCCAGGGACCTGCAAACACACCTGCCTGCAATGCAGTGTGCTCTTCAGGTGCCTGTCCTGCAAGCAGGGTCCAAACCACTGGGGCCTGGGATCAATGCCTGGGCCAGAGTTTTTTTCAGCAGGAACAATCCATTTCAGAGGGCAGATTTAACAATTCAGTCAGATGTTTCCCGGAGTGGGTGAAGGAGTGTGAGCCTCCCCATCCACCAATCTGCAATGGATTTCTCTTTTGCCCTACTGCTGAGCTGTGGTCTTAGGTTTTCTTTTTTTTCTTTTCTTTTTTTTTTTTTTTTTGAGACAGAGTCTCGCTCTGTCGCCCAGGCTGGAGTACCACGGCGCAATCTGGGCTCACTGCAATCTCCGCCTCCCAAGTTCAAGCAATTCTCCCACCTCAGCCTCCTGAGTAACTGGGATTACAGGCATGCGCCACCATGCCCAGCTAATTTTTGTATTTTTAGTAGAGATAGGGTTTCACTGTGTTGGTCAGGCCGCTCTCAAACTCCTGACCTCGTGATCTGCCCGCCTCGGCCTCCCAAAGTGCTGGGATTACAGGCATGAGCCACCGTGCCCGGCCAGTCTTAGGTTTTCTAGGGTGACCATTGCATCTGGGAGCCTCTGACGTTGGTATCTTGATATCTTTTTCCTTGGACTGGTCATATTCTCCAGGGAAGATACACCCTATTTCCTGCCTAGAAGCTATGAGTCTGGTTATGTGTGCTTTAAAAATCTGGGAAGAAGGTTAAGGCCTCAACATTCCAGGGATTAACTTTCACTGAATCCCTGTCTTCAGCACTACATCATTTTTTCAACTGTGTCTATAAAAGTGAAACTCTGGCTGGGTGCAGTGGCTCACACCTGTAATCCCAGCACTTTGGGAGGCTGAGGTGGGTGGATCAGTTGAGGTCAGGAGTTCAAGACCAGCCTGGCCAACACGGTGAAACCCCATCTCTGCCAAAAAATAAAAAAAGTAGCTGGGCATGGTGGTGTGCACCGTTAAGTCCAGCTACTCAGGAGGCTGAGGCAAGAGAATCGCTTCAACCTGGGAGGCAGAGGTTGCAATGAGCCGAGATCACACCACTGCACTCCAGCCTAGGCGACAGAGTGAGTAAGACTGTCTCAAAACAAATGAACTCTGGCTTCTGCCTGAGCAGACAGGGCAGCTGCTCTCCTGTGTGACATGGGGCACAACTGCTTAGTAAGCAGATTTGGAATCAGTGCTTTTATTTTTAGCCCCACCTTCATGCCCACTTCCAGTAGCCTGAGCCTTGAGGGATTTCCACTGTGTTAACTGGACCATTTCTCTGCTTTGGTAGCCTGCAATGCTTACAATCAAATTTGCATTACCACCCGCTCATCTGCTTTCTAGTTTCCAAGGTTTTATTGCTGTAGCTTTATCTCCCGTTATTTGTCCTTGTGGGTGTTTTTAAGGGTTTTTAAAAATCATTTTTACTGATACTTAAGTAGGGTTGAGGAGGGAGCAGAGGCAAATGCATGCGTTCAAAATATGCCATCTTCATATAAAAGTATGGCTTTATCCTTTAAATCTTTCATAAATCTGGAATTATGTGATTGCCTTATATGAAAAAGATGTCTTAATTTTGAATAGACATTTCCTCCTGCATCTTTTACTAAATAATTTATCCTTTTCTACAGATTCCAAATGTAACTGTTACACTAAATTTGTGCATATGCCTGAGTCTGTTTATAGGCATTCTATTTGGCACCATTGATATATTTACTTAATCCCTAAACCAGTACCAAACTATTCTAATTATTATGGTTTTAGAATATAAAACCAGTACCAAACTATTCTAATTATTATAGTTTTAGAATATATTTTAATGTCCATTAGTCCCTATACCGCCACCTCATTATTCTTCTAGTTTTAAATGTCCGTGTTTGTGTCATACATTCTATTAGAGTTTAGCATAATTTCATCCAGTCCTTTCACATCCCCTTTTAAATCTAAAAATAATTTGGAGAAAAGTGGCAATTCTAACATTTCAGCTTGTCCTCAAGAGTGAAAATTTTCTCCAGTTTTGCTCAAGTCTTTAAGTTTCTCACTAAAATTTTATAGTTTGTTTAATTCAGGTCCTGTATATTTCTTGATAAATTTATACTCATATTTTTCTTGCTATTTTGAACAAGATGCTTTTTAATCATTATGTTTTTAAACAAGATACAGGAAAACTAGTAATTTCTTGTATTGTAATCAGATGCCTTACTGAACTCCTTTAGTAGTATAATAGTTTCTCTTTTTCTTGGGGTTGCCAGTAAACCACTCCATGTATTTTTCCTGAATTATTTTCCCCAAATTCATTCTGTTAGTCCATTTTATCACATTGGCTGGACTGGATAATTTTTTTGTTTGTTCATTTTTTGTTGTTGAGATGGGGGTCTCACTTTGTCACCCAGGTTGGAATGCAGTGGCACAATAATAGTGCACTGTAATCTCGAACTCCTGAGCTTCAGCTATCCTCCCATCTCAGCCTCTCAAGTATCTGGGACTACAGGAATGAGCCACCATGCCTGGCTAATTAAAAATTTTTTTGTGTGTGGAGATGGAGTCTCAGTATGTTGCCCAGGCTGGTCTTAAACTCCTGGGCTCAAGTGATCCTCCCACCTTGGCCTCCTAAAGTGTTAGGATTACAGGTGTGAGCCACTGCACTCGGCCAGATAATTTCAAATTTCTTAGGCTATCCAGTCAGTTTGACTACTTGCCTTTCAGAAAATTTCTACAGTAAGTGTGCAAAAGAATGAAAAAAAAAAACAGGAAAAGTGTTCACCCACCCAAGGAGCCAACACAACCACAATACACTGCTCTGGTTCCAGCATATTTTACCTATTAGTTTAGCTTACTCAATAAATATTGAATGGATGGATGGGTAGATGGATGAATTATATTTGCTTGAATGTCCCATTGAAATCTAGTATTTCTGCGGTAAATCTGAATCAGTTTTGTGTGCATATATCTTCCAGGTATTTCTATTTAAGAAGGGTGATCCACTGATAAGCTTATAAAAACAAAAAAGAAGGTTCATCTAGTAAAAATGAAAGAATAATAATGTAAACTGGAAACTTCTGTTGATAGAAGTCAGGTTATTTGATAACCATGTGTCCCTCTTCACTCTAATATATTTTACATGCTTATGTAGAGGTTTTGAAAATGAAACTAATTTTTGTAGTCTATTTTATCCTTTACAAAAATCATGTTGCCTTTAACAGTTATAAAGTAACAATATAAGAGGAGATTTCATTATGGATGCATTTTTTATATGTTTGATGAGGATCATAAACAGTGGTGGAGACAATTTTTTTATGGAATGGAAAAGGACAATGATCTTGGGTATATTACTTTTAATTATCCCTCAGCCCACCTTTGCGTTAAGAAATAAATAAAACACAGTGCTGATAAATGTTAAATAACTAAGGAAAAATCTATTTGTGTAATAAATTAACTGTGCCATATTTTTTGTTCCTATACAAGAAGTCACCAACTATTGGTCCCCTCAGAGTTTCCACAGCATTCTAATTCTTGAGTACAGATGGCATGTATTTAGCCATCAAATACAGTAAGCACCACGCATTTATTGCTTTGGAAGCCAGCAGAGAGGCCAGCTGTGGCCTTCTAAAATGCACTTAGCTTTCTGCTGTTCTAGGGCCTCCTCTTTGACTGCCCCTATGTGAAAAGGGCCCCACCCCTACTCTGTTGCATGCATGATGTCAACGATCACATTTTGTAATTGCTATGTTTATGTGATTGTCTATGTGTTTATTATATGCCTCCTCCACAACAGAATGCAAATTCTAAGAAGGTGGCAGGATCAGGCTGGGTGCTGTGGCTCATGCTGTAATTCGAGCACTTTGGGAAGTGGAAGTGGCAGATCACTTGAGGCCAGGAATGCGAGACCATCCTGGCTAACATGGTGAAACTCTGTCTCTACTAAAAATACAAAAATTAGCCAGGCATGGCGGTGGGTGCCTGTAATTCCAGCTATGTGGGAGGCTGAGGTACGAGAATTGCTTGAACCCGGGAGGCGGAGGTTGCAGTGAGCCGAGATCGCGCCACTGCACTCCAGCCTGGGCGACAGAGTGATACTCTGTCTCACACACACAAAAAAGAAGGTGGCAGGATAGGTCTTACTATTAGATTCCCAACACCTAGCATGATGCCTGGTAATAGTGGGTACTCAATAAATACATATTCATAAATATGTACAATCATAGGTCAATTACAAATAAAATAAAACTTAAAGAAATACCCCCCGACCCCGAAGAAATAAATGTATACTGAATGAATGAGCCTTTGTCATCTGCCTACCTTCTTCAGGTCTACAGCTTCCATGCGTGGGAGGAGGGCAATTTCTAGGCACCTATACCATCCACATACAGAAAGGAACCCTGAATGCTACTTTTTAACTCATTAACTCACAAAAAACAAAACCCTCACATTTTAAAATACTCTTTGCAAGTTAGAGAAATATTTGCTCTTATTACAGAAACTCAGAAAATATTTTACTCATGGTAGTCCCTTCTGAAGAACACAAGCAATGACTATATTCCTTCTCTTAAAGAACATTGGAGGCCTATGGATTCAGGGGCCTAATGACCCGAATAGAAGCAGGTGAACCAAGTTTACTTGTGCAATTGGTTCATTTATCGGTGCCATTCCCCAATATTATTGCATTTTTTTGCGCTTGTGAGTTTATTCATTACATAAATATACATGGTAACTGGCTTTACCCAGAATTCGGGGTAATTCTTACAATACCACAGGAGGGCCAAGTCCATCCTGCAAGCCTAGTCATATGACATGCCATCAGCTTCTGTCAAGTCCAGTGCACAGCTGTATACACTCAACTATATAGTATAAAACCCCTTAGACATGTTTTCTTAGTATCTCAAAGATGTGCAAACATCTATTGTATTTATTGTATTAACTCAGGATATTTTACTCTTTTTTTTTTTAAGAGACAGGATCTTACTCTGTCACCCAGGCTGAAATGCAGTGGTGTGATCATGACTCACTGTGGCCTCAACCTCCTGGGCTCAGGGGATCCGCCCGCCTCAGCCTCCAGAGTAGCTGGGACTATAAATGTGTGCCACCACACCTGGCTAATTTTTTTTTTTAATTTTTTGTAGAGATGGGGTCTCACTATGTTGCTCAGGCTGGTCTCAAACTCCTGGCCTTAAGCACTTCTCACACCTCAGCCTCCCAAGAGCTGCAATTACAGGAGTGAGCCACCATACACAGCCTCAAGATTTGTGAAGAGAAGAAACCTTTCTTCCAACATAATCTTGCACAAAGGCTTAATACTTACGGTAGACAAGTGAAGTTTTTCTCTGAAGCAAGGCAATGGTTGGGGGCATATGTGTGCACTCATGTGTATGTCTACCTGCAGATACCATCCCACCGAGCCCTCTTGCTTCTCCAGTTGTACTGCAAGCATCTCTGAGGAATCCCGCGGGTTCTGAGGGACTCCATTTGAAAACTGCCCTATTAACCTAACACTAAGCAAAAATATAGGGGAGTGGAATGTATGAAGAATCCATCCTATGTAGAAATGGAAATCAACATAGGACTGTCTTTTCAATAATTCAAGTCAGTCAGTATTTCCTGTGTAGTAAGCTCCTGGGGTGATATAAAAAATTCCATTTAACTAATATCCTTGTCTGAAACAGAGGTGAAATTAAAGCACTAGAAAGCTAACACTATCAATAATTCATAGTAGTTCTATTCCCTGGGACTAAAGTGGGGTGGCATAATCCTTTCAGATGTCTCTTCAGCGCCAGTATAAAATGAAGACCATAGCAAGAAAGGAGACAGTAAAAAATAAAGACAGATAATGAATTAAAAGCTAATGTGATGCATGTTGGAAAATACTGAGTTGCCTGTCAATTTCAAGCTTTTAAACTAGCATTAATAATGGAAGGATAATATATAACATTTTTGCCATTCTCCTTTCTTTAACAAGTTTCTTTATTCAGTTACATGTGGACAAATAATACCATAGACTCCTTTATTATCAAATGTTTTAATGTCTGAAATATTTGTCAGATATGTAGCCCTTGATTAGTGAGTTCAGTGATTATCCAGGAAATCCTAGAGCATCCATAATTAACCTAAGACCTAAGATTCCTCATTTTTAAAAGGATGATACTGCTACTCACCCCACTGAGCTATTGAAAGGATTAGAGAGAATGTATGTAAATCACTTAGTGCAACATCTGGCCATTAATAACTATTATTACAGTGTAATTGTTTCCTGCCTTTGCCAAAGATGGTAGACAGCCTGTTTAGCAAGCTCTGTGACCCTCAGAGTCACATACTTCTAGTGCATCTCCACCAGTGAGACCTCTTGGTCTTGGCAGAGGTGCTTCTCAGCTTGCAGCGGAAAATGGCGCATCATCCAACCTCCTCAGTTGGGTGAGAGTCTGGAAGAGCCACTCAGGCTTGAGCTATGCCCAGGATTCTGAGAACCAGCTAATTGAATCAAAGGTCCTAGGAGTAGAGAAGGCAGAACAAGTGAGGGGATGACTATAACCTGTAACTTCCTTGCCGCACCGCAGCTTCTAGGTCAACACATATCTAGTGACAGATATGCCCTTCTTTCTGTTTTATTTGGTGGAACAGAATAGGTGCTGGCACAGTGGTAATGGATGGAAGTAGACTTTAGAGTCAGTATGCTTAGGTGTGAGTCCAGCTACTACTTCCTGGTTGTCTTGGAGAAGTTTCTTAAACTCTCAGTGCCTCATCTGTAAAATGAGGAGTATACTGCCTCCCTCACAGAGTTGCGGTGACGATTAAATAAAATAATCTGTAAAGTGTTTAACACAGTATCTGGAAAATAGTAAATGTTCAATTTTAAGCTAATGTCAGGGTATAGTCAGGGTGCAGTAGCAGGTAACTAAAACCACCTTAGCCATTTTAGGATGGAATTTAATACAGGGAATTAGGTACTTACAAAATAATTGGAAGAACTGGAATAACAAATCTAGATTGGGCCTGTTGGAGCAACTCTGCAGAATTGACTGCTAAAGTATAAATGTTAGAACTGTGATTCTCATGCAAGTATAAAATGACATGTCACAAATATTTTATTTAATACATTAATTAATGAGGGAATCTGTAAGATGTTAAGTCCAGTTCAAAGGAGAATTCAGAGATACATACACGTGTGTGTGTGTGTGTGTGTGTGTGTGTGTGTGTGTGTGTATACATATATACACACACAATCAGAAATGTTTCAATCAACTGGTTAATAGATGCAAAACTGGCTAAAATTCTACAGGACAGCACTGTCTGACAGAACCATAATGCAAGCCTCATCTGTAATTTAAATTTTCTAAGAGTCACATTTTAAGAAGTAAAAATAGTTAAAATTAATTTTAATAATATCTTATTTAACCCACTCTATCCAAGATATAATTATTTCAAGATGTTATCAATATAATAAAATCAATGAGATCTTTTTACATACTTTTTCATATCGAGTCTTTGAAATCTGGTGTATATTTTATACCTATAAGACATCTCAATTCAAACTTGCCACATTATAAGAGTTCAATAACTACATAGCTAGTAGCTTTCATATTAGACAATGTAGCTTTAGGGCAATAAAAAATAATGTTTGGAATTATCTTTTCTTCAGGGCTAAAATCAATTTTATATCTACCAAAAAAAAAAGATTTGTTTTGCTATGGATAAGAATTATTTGTGGCTGGTCATGCTGGTAATTCCAGCACTTTGGGAGTCCGAGGCAGGAGGATTGCTTGAGCTCAGGAGTTTGAGACCAGCCTGGACAACAGAATGAGATCCTGTTTCTGCTACATTCAAATAAAATTAAAAAGTAAAAAACAAAACTATCTGGATTTCTATAGTTTGCTGCAAATAAATTTCTACCTTACAGAGTTGTAAAATAGTTTAGTTAATAGGAAGTCACCAGTGCATACCCCTATAGAATTAGAAAATTCCTAAAGTTTCTACCAGACCATATCAGAATTTTCCTGAAAGACACTCCCGATCTCTATGACCCAATTTCAAGCCTTGGACAATTTTTCCTGATAGGCCTATTAGGGGAATCTGACTGCCAGGAAAAATACTGTATTTATGAATATACTACCCTAACTATCAGTCCAGGTATCAGGAAGGCACCACCAGAATTGTTGGCCCCCGAGCCACATGGGCTAGATCTTCACACCAGCTAAATGGATGCCTCAGGCACTGCTGCCTCTTTCTCCACTGAACTCAGTCCCAAATTCAAATTTCACAGGAATACCTCTGATTAATAATGACTAAATCACATTTGAAACTCTTGCTGCGAGGCAGTCAGGAAATGTAGCTCCTAGCTCTCCAGTGTCTGCAGTACGTGAAAGACCCCAGAAGGAGTTTGGAATAGAGGTCGACCAAGCCAATATACCACGTCTACTGCAGCCATTATTCAGTTAACAAGAGCTTCATGAAATTCTTCACTCTGGGATTCAGAGGAATTAGATTTTTTTTGCCGGTCTGTATGGTGGCCACACTTCTGTGGACCCTTTCTGGTACAGGGTTCTCAGCACTAGAACAGCATCCCAACCAACATTGAAGGGTCAGGTGCAGAAGAAGGCAACAGAGGACATGTAGAAGGCATGACCAGAGAAGAGGGAGATGATAGCCACCAACGTGTGCTGTTAGGAAAACCCAAGGCAAAGGTATTTTAAGAAGGGAGCAGTCAGTGTCCAAATGCTGTCAGGACCCAAGTAAAATAACTGAAAAGTGCTTTGGGGACCTCAGCAAGCTCAGCTTCAGTGAAGTGGTGGGGGTGGAAGCTAGATTTGCATGGTTTTAGAGTGAGGGGGAAGTTAAGAATCTAAGACAGCAAGAATAGATCATCTTTCTAGCTGTCTGCCTGTGAAGGAGAGGAGAGAGAGCAGCTGTATACATCTTTACGGTTCTGTTCTTGGCAAGGCAAGCCTGCCTAGATTTTGAATTCAATGCCTTCCAATATTTACGAGCGCCTTTGTCTCAGAAGAGCAATATTTGAGGAAGATTGCTTTAAGGATGCACAGTCCAGGATGTTCTCTCTTCCAGTTATGTTAAAATCGACTCCTACATGAAGCCAAATGAAAAATGAGTTGGCCAGACACGCCTGCGTTTTCACCCTCACCCTGATCTCTCCATCTCCCACCAAAAATGCTCATAAACAAATTGAGTTGGGGTTGGGGGATGCCATTAGCCGATAGAGAACTACTAGATAATCTAGTGCCAAATTGTGGCCCACTCATAGCAGAGGTTGTTATTTTAGGCATCACTTAAGCCTTGTCCTGGCTCTATTTTATGTCCCCACCCTAGTTTTTAATCCCTTTTCACTTTTAAATGTACATGCTCTTGTTTTACATACGCTTACAAATCACTTTAAATCCTGCTGGGAACAAAGTGAGGTGCAAACATAAAAAGCTCTGTATTTTCCCGGCTTGCTGATACTGTTTGTTTGATTTTATAATGGAAATGGTAGGGGTGGGGGAACAGATTTATTTAAGGAGTTTTGCTTTACGGCCGACTTCGTTAGATACCTTTTCCATTAAAATAAGGCATGCAACGTTCTATGGTTATAAAAACCACGTCTTCAAGGCACCAGTCTCTGTGGCCGTGGACTCCGGGACCAAGCCAGGCAGCCACGGCCTCGCCCGGGGAAGCTTCAGGTGCCATTGATCGCGGGGCGGCGGCAGCCGGGCACCCACCGGCTCCGACCTCTGTGCCGAGAGGAATGTGCAAGTCCTCAAAGGGAAATTCATAAAGCGAAGCCCTGACAGCCTGATGCAATTTGCGCACAATTGAATTAAAAGAATAGCGCCAAGGTGGGATGGAAAGGCGGCTAACGACACAAGAACCGCTAGAAGAACAGATGTGCTAGATGGAAAAGCAGAAGCAAAAATCACATTTTAATGGAAAGACGACTGTTTGGCTGTGTATTAGACACCGGCTGTATTGAGCATACTACATGTGGTTAACCCTGAAGATGGGGGCTCTCGGAATGCCTTGAAATATTTGACGAGAATCAAAAATAATGAAGCCCTTCTTTATGGACATGTCTCATTGTTAGGGAAATGGCTACCTTTTGAACCTCCCAGGATTTTTTTTTTAGATTCTCCTATGTGACTCAGTTCATAGGGAGGCTCATGATGGAAGGTAAGAATGCCATAGTAATGTTTTAGTTGGTAGGTGGCTGCCTGTAAATGGTACTTTTATAATTTCAATATTTTTCGGCACAAATGTGTTAAATGCTCACAAATTTCAGTCTGTTATGTAGACAGAGATGATCATAAAAAACGTTTTCCTTTTTGTACTCATATGCCAACTTTTAACAAAAATATAGAACAAAATAGAAGGTGAGGAAGAAATATGTATCTTCCTAATAATCTCTGCAGGTTATAAAACAAAGTCATTGCTAAATCCCAATAAAGGTGTTTCTGCCTAGATTTTGAAAACTAAAATTGGGTGTAGAATTGTCACCCTAGTAACAAAAAATTTAAAGAGCTTGGGCCTGTTGGTTGACTTAAATCTGCTGTAGTTTTCATAAATAAATCTAAGTTATTAACAGCTTGGTGAATTTTTGGCAAATAAGAGGACGTCATCAATATATCCAAGTTGCTTATCTAGTGGGAGGTGACAAAGTAGAAGAAGGAAGGATGTGAGGCTGAAAGGGAGAGGAGAGAAACATTTCATGGAAGAGGTTGTCTGACTTTAAGGTGTGCTCAATTTTGCTGACACCATTAATGATCAAAGAATATCTAGCAACCAGAATCAAAATGTAATTTAACTTCATTATATTACACCTCCCTCTTTTGAATTGAAAGCTACTTATATATAGTTGATAGCTGTCATTCTTTAGTTTTCCAAATGACTTTTAGATGATGAGGCTTTGAATAGAATTAAAAGCTTGGGGTCGCAGAAGTTACAACCATGAAACTAAAGCCAGTAGGTGGGTCCTGCTGTGGAAGAAACTGGACTCCCTGAGATTGGGTCTACAAAGTGCAGTTTGGACTTGGCAATCATCCAGATAAGGCCTCAACCTTTGGGAGCCTCTTCTAATTACACACTATTTCCTGCTACAGCTAAATGTACATCACAGAAAGAAAAAAACTAGTTAGCAGCTTTCTGTGGGATCCTACAAGGCACCGTTACATCGGTGGAGTTGCCAAAGCTCTTCTCTGGTCAAGGAATTGATCCTAAAAGCTCTCTGGAATGATCAAGTTTAGGGGAACAAACACCTGATTTCCTAGGAGATCAATTTATAAACTAGAATACCATGCATCATTTATAGTAGGCAAGTATATCAGCCATTTATAAAATAATTTTCCTTTTGAGGGAAATGCACTAATGCACTAATGAGACAGAATTACATTAGATTGTTCTTTCTCTAGCCTAGGTGAAACCTGGCCTAGAGAATATACATAATGATAGTATCCTTTTCCCCAGGAAGCACTGAAGAAATGGTAATATGGCCCACCTTTTTAAAAACTACACCACCCACTGCTTTTCACTTAACAAATCACTACCTCAGACAAGTTAATGAGGCTATAGTTTTCTTTTTAGTTGCTCTGTTCCTATATGGAGGATATGCCTTGGTCACCTGCATTATGCTGAAACACAGTCTGTTTCTGTTTCTAGGGTAAAGAAAAGGGAAAGCTTATCACTTAATTGTAGTATCTTTACAGACCACATCTTAAGGCAGCTTGCTTTGAAACAGGTGATTTTGTTTCCATTTTGGAAGGCAACAGGTCTGATATTTTCCCTGGATAGAGGAAAGGTGAAGGGAACAAAGCCCTCTCTAAATTGTGGCTACAGGAGTGGCAGGCAAGTGCAAGAATACCCCTTTTCCACAGAGGGAATTAACCCAAAGGGAATGACTGAAAGGGTCATTATGTTCTCCAAGACAATCAAGCAAGCAGCATAGAGAGTCAACGTGCTGATGAGGGAATGTTCCCAATACTGTGGGTGCTGTTCAAACTACCCTCACACCTAGAAATAACAAACACTGTTTAGCCAGCTTACAAGTCTGCAATTTGGTCAGGGCTCAACAGGGAAACCTCATCTTTGCAGTACTTGCCAAGAGCAGCTCTGAGGCTGAGGACTGGAATAACTGGAATCACTTACAAGTCTGGCAGATGATGCTGGGAAAACTCAGTCAGCTGGGTTCTGCAACAGCTCTGGCTCCTCAGTCGTCTCCCTCTATCCCTACATGACTTCTTCAGCATGGCGGCTTCAAAGTAGCCAGACATTTTATGTGTGTGTTGTCACAGGGATCCAAAGGTATGTCCAGTAGAGCCAGGCAGAAACTGTACTGCCTGCTCTAACCTAGTCTTGGAAGACACTCAGTGTCACCTCTAACACATTCTATGAGTTTGAAGTCAGTCACTAAGGCTGGCCCATGTTCAAGGGGAAGGAAATTAGATCTCACCTACTGTGGTCTGAATGTATCCCCCAAATTTCATATGGTAAAATTTAATTGCCAGTGTGACAGTATTAAGAAGTAAGGCATTTAGGAGGTGATTAGGTCATGAGGGGGGGCCCTTATGCATGGGATTAGCCACTTATAAAAAGGGCTTGAATGGGTAAGTCTGTTCCTTCCATTCCTTCCACCTCTTCTGCTATGAGGACATAGAGTTAGCCCCCTCTGGAGGAAATGGTGTTCAAGGTGCCACCTTGGAAGAAGAGATCAGGCCATTATCAGACACTGAACTTGCCAGCACTTTGATCTTGGACATCCAAGCCTCCAGAACTGTGGGAAATAAGTTTCTGTATACATTACCCAGTCTAAGATATTTTGTTATAGCAGCACAAATGCACTCACCTTTAGTGAAAAGAGTATCAAAAAATTGGGGAACATGTTTTTAAATCACCAGGGTAATTTTATGTAGTTAAATAATTATGTGATAGTATACTCTTTACTAAGTCATTCATTCACAAATACTTACGGAGCTTTTTACCATATATTGAATAAACATTGCATTTCAAAGTTAAAAAATTCTAGATATTATAGCCTGAGAAAACTCACATTTGGATATGATTTTATGTATTGAGAAGGCTGTATTTTGTTTTAGGCCTGTCTTTGAAAGTTTTCAAACCAGCACAAAATGTCAGATGAGGACAAATCCATTTAGAGAGGAGTATAATCAAAACAGCATAAAGATTTTTATTAGAATTCATTTAAAACCTGAGAAAATGGAAGTATAAATCCTTAATCAGTACAATTATATTCTAGAAAAGTTATCTGTTGAGCAAAGTAGTGTAAAAACGGATCATCTTTTCTACCAATTTTATATTTTCAGTTGCCTGGTATGTGAAAGGAGGATTGTTCTCTGATAGACATAGATGACTATTAGTTAGGGTTAGATTCAGCTTTGAAGCACAGTAATAGTGGCTTGAAGAAGGTAGTTTACAGAGAGTCCCTGATGGGGGGACTCTTTGTAATGGTTCAACTCACATTTTTTAGACTTTCTGGTGGTGCTAACATGATAAACATTTAGTAGAAATCTTACTTCAAATGTTGAATTTTGATCTTTTTCCAGGCTAGCAATATGCATTGATATTCTCTCACAATGTTGGGCAACAGCAGCAAACCACAGCTCCCAGATCACGAGGGTAAACAGTGGATACTCTACAATGTACTGCATTGCCAAATAGTTTAGCCCAGCTATAGGGTTGGTCTTGAATGCCTGGGCTCAAGAAATCCTCCCATCTTGGCCTCCCAAAGGCCACTGCGCCTGGCCCTGAGCACATTTAAGGTAGGCTAGGCTAAGCTATGGTGTTCAGTAGGTTAGGTGTATTAAATGCATTTCTCACTTACAGTATTTTCAACTTACAATGGGTTTATTGGTACATAACCCTATCATAAGTCAAGAAGCATCTGTATTCCTTTATCATATAAAGGAAGCCTGAAGGTGGGCAGTCCAGGACAGGTATGACAACTCCATACCTTCAGAGACCTTTCCAACTCACCACTCCATGATTTCTAGGATGTTGTCCTCCATTCTCATAACCCAAGATGGATGCTAAAGTTCCAACCATCACATCTGTGTTCCAGACAGCAGGATAGATGAAGGCAAAGAGGAGGAAGATTATATATGTTTGCAGTATGTTAAAAAGGTTTTCTAGCAGCTGCCACACAATACTTCTGATTACATCTCATTGGCCAGAACTCAGCTACAAAAGAGACTGAGATGTTGTCAATGTAGGCTTTATTCTGAGTGGCTGTGTGCCCAGTAAAAACACATGTATTACAATAGAAGGAGAGGATGATTACTGGAGGACAGCTAGCAGTCTTAGCCACAGGGTGGAAATTGAGTGTTCTGTTTTGGACACAGTAAGCATGAGATGCTTTTTAGACACCTACGTTAACAACAGAATTTAGGAGAGAGATTGAAACTGGAATTATAAATTGGGAACTGATTACAGATGATATTTAATGCCACAGGGCTAGATGGCAATACCTGGGAATAAATGGAAACAGAAGAGAAGTGGTCAGCAAGAGGAGCATCCCACAGAATAGGCTGAGAAGATGGAGCAAGTGAGGCAGAAGGAAAGCCAGGAGACCGTGGTATCCTAGAAACTCAGTGCTGTGGTCTGAATGTTTGTGTCCTCCCAAAATTTGTATGTTGAAACCTAATTCCTAATGTGTTGTTATTAAGAGATAGGGCCTTTGTGAGATGATTAGCTCATGAGGATTCCAAAGGGACCAGTACCCTTATAAAAGAGGGCCCAAGGGAGCTTGTCAGCCCCTTCCACCATATGAGGGCACAGCTGGAAGGCAAAATCTTTGAAGCAGAGCAGAGCTGTCACCAGACGCTGAATCTGCTAGTGCCTTGATCGTGAACTTCCCAGCCTCCAGACCTGTGAGCAGTAAATTTATGTTGTTTATAAATTACCCAGTCTATGGTGTTCTGTTACAGCAGCCTGAAGAAACGAAGATGCTCAGCAAAGAAGGTATTTCAAGAAGGGGGTCTCAACAGTCTCATGGGTTGCTGAATGTTTAAGTAACACAGGCCAAAGAACTGATCACTGGATTTGGCAAGTTCAAAGTCAAGGACACTAGTTGATCCTGGTTACAATGGAGAGGTAGAAAGCAAAGCCTGCTGGGAGGGAATGAAGAGAAAAATAGGTGGGTGAGAAAGAAGAAACAGTCAACATAGCTTTATCAAGGAGATGTGCTATAAAGGGCTGGAGATGATGTAGCTCTAGAGGACATCTTTTAAAAAACAATTGTAGATACAAGAGCATATTTGTGTGCCTATGGGAATGATGGGATAAAAAAAAAGGTGATGATGTGAAAGAGAGCAATAATAGAAGTAGCAAACCAGGATCCAGGGTAAAACTGAGTCACAAGAAAAGTGTACACAAAGGAGTCACGTGGAGACACACAGGAGAATGAAATAAGGGATAAGAATGAGACCAAGAGGAAATACTAGATGAATAGATTCTAGCAGTGGAATTGAGGGTAGCAAATGCTCAAAAGATAAAGAGGATTCTCTTGAGGGCCACCTCAGATAGACTGGTAGTGGATGCCTGGGGCTGTATGTTGAGGAGACGAGTGAAGCTTTGTCCAGGCTCCATGGGAGAAAGTGCAGTGATCAGTGATGCATCCCCCAGTATTCTGACCTGAATCGTTTATGGAGCCTGCTTTGGCCTACAAGCATGTGGATGCTTTTTATGAGTCTGGCTTTGGCTTTTAATTATATGATTTTTTTTTACAAAGTTTAAATCATATTATAAGAACTGTTATAATCTTTTCCACTTAATATAAAGAGAGTTGTCACTAAGGCTGGAGTGCAGTGGCACGATCTCGGCTCACTGAAACCTCCGCCTCCTGGGTTCAAGTGATTCTCCTGCCTCAGCCTCCAGAGTAGCTGGGATTACAGGTGCCACGATGCCCAGCTAATATTTGTATTTTTAGTAGAGACGGGGTTTCTCCATGTTGGCCTGGCTGGTCTTGAACTCCTGACTTCAGGTGATCCACTCGCCTTGGCCTCCCAAAGTGCTGGGATTACAGGCGTGAGCCAGTGCACCAGGCCAAAGATAGTTTTTTAATGTTAATAGATCAGTGTCTACATTCTACATCATCATTTCAAATGCTTCTTAAGTCTTCCATTGTATGGGTAGACTCCGTTGTATTTAATCAACTTCCTATTGTTGGAAATTCGAGTTGTTCCAATTGTTAAATAATTACAAATGTTAAAATATACTTAAATATTTACTTGTAAAACTCCTACTATATTACATCTACTTTATGATCCAGAAGGCACTACGAAGTCACGGTTTAAAACCATGGGCTTTTGAGTCAGAGCTAGACCTCTGGGATTCTAAATCTGTCTCAGGGTCTTAATCTGAGTAAAATGGGTTTAATAATATTTATACCTTACAGGAGTGTTGTGAAGATGAAAGGAGTTAATATATGTAAAGCACTACACAGAGTCCTGGGGCATGGAAAGCATGCAATGAAAGCTAGCTCATACAACTGAAGGGGCTCACGTCTACCCATCTCTGCCCTCAATGCTCAGCCCAGGGGTTGACAAGGTGTTCAATGAATTGCTTGTTCAATGAGTAATTTGTATAAGATCTTGGTAACAATATTAAAAGGTTATAATCCTAGTCACAGAGATAGGACTAAATTAGAACTCTTTAATAAAAATCTTGAGGCAAGATATTCATATCTAACAGGAATTGTATATGTATGATAATTAGGGTAAGTTTCATCTTTTTATTTTCAATCATTCGTGCATTAGGATAAAGCCCAAAATGTGTCATAAATCACTGAATTGAAAACACCACTGTGCAAAGTATAAAAAATTTCAAATCAACCATGCTATCATCTTTAATTTGTGAATGTTAGAAATATTTTCATTCTTCACATTATTAATTAAAACAATAATATTTGATCATTGTAAAACTTCAAACAGGATATACAGGAAGCAGGAAGTGAAAGCTCTCCTTTCTCATCTCCCAGCCCCACTCTTAGATATGGCCACTCTTTGAAGGTGTATTCTTTCACACCTTTCCTGTGCATATACAAGTATACACACAGCTACCTGTGAATATGTCCATACAGAGGATAATCAGCATTTAATTATAAGTCACACAGCTCTACTTTCATATTTAAGAAAAAAAAAACTTCCAAACAATTTCCATCAGAAAAAATTGTCACTAGTCTGGTGTTTTTATCCATTAAATCTTTGTTTCTAGTGATTTCCCCAGGAGTGAGTGGTTCATTGTAGTTGGCTAACCATGTAAGAGCAAGCAATAGAACAAAAACAAATGTTTTTGTTCTATTAATAAGGAAGTGAATAAGTTTTCTTAAACATTCATAGGAATAGATGGAGAAAAACATGTGACCTGAACTAAGATCAAATCAGGCAGAACTTTGTTCCAGGTCAGAAATAGTTTTAGGATCTTGACATATGACCACAAGGGCCATCTGCTTAGAGCAGGGCAGAGTAAAGCAAAATGTGGAGCAGGGTGAGGACACAAAAGAGGAGTGGATGAGAGGTTGGAAATTGTCTGAAAATGTTAAAGCTGATTTTAGTTTCCCATCGTCCGTGACGGTGGGATTTGGTGGTCATTTGTTATTTTAGTTATTTTATTTAAAGTCCCCAATCTCTAACCCTAACAGATACAGGAGTGTAAATAATATTTTTATTCTTTGAAGGACTTGGAGAACTTGTATATTCTTCTGTTATTTCATAAGAGATTTTAATTTACTATTTGAGATGTTTGAGGCAAAAAAATACTTAAATTAACATATATTTCACTACCAAGAGAACTGGTGTCTTCTGGGTAATGAATTATGAATAACAACATATGAAATAAATAGCAACAGTCACTTTGGCTCCTTTGTGGAAGAACATAGGATATAAATAAGTAAGTGTATACATGAAAAAATGAAAATAAACAGTAATGATGCTTGCTAACTGTGTTGCTTGCTTCTGTTATAACTCATTCATTCTAAAAAAATAATTAGCTGATAGGGTATAATTACTATTTTTATAATCTTGTTCAAACAAATTGAATTTGTGTAATGGAAAAAAAGCAAAACTTAGTAAAGCATTTTTCATAATCTAGGATCTATGTTGCTACAATCTGTATTTAACTCCTTAGAAAATGGTCCCATAATCAAGATCTCCTTCCTAGTTCTCTCACCAGGAGTTGTAACACTCTGATTCACAAGAGTAAGCTTTTGATTTTGGCTTTTTAATTTTACTTCGTAATACCAGAGCCTAGAAGGAACTTCCACATCACAAAAAATTGAGCATAAGGGTTTCACCAGAGTCTAGCTCTGGTGATTTCTGCCACATGATATCTTTGCTACTATAATTCTAAGGAGATGGGAAGTCTTACTCGACTGAAATCTTGTCTAGCCACCAACATCATCTCATCTTTACCTGTCCTGGGTATCATCATGTAGGCTAGTAACTTGCACCCCTTAGCCTACTGACAGAGACATCTGTATCTCCTATAACATCCATTGACTATGCATGTGCACTGTGGCAGCACCACTGATTTGCTTTAAACATGGTACTTAATTTGATAACTGAAGTAAATAAGAATTATCTGGCATCCAAGGCATCAGAATATATCCCACTGTCAGGAAAAGGAAATTGATCCCTGACTTCTGAGCTGCAATGACAAAGTTAATCATAATTGGACTCTAAGATTGAGACTAATCAGATATTGAGTCAAGGTAATCAACTGGAGTTGATAATATATAGAATAATCTGGTTTTGAATAGTGCTTTGCTGTTTTCAAAATGTTTTAAATTATGTTATTTCGTTTAAACCTCCAACTTCTCTCTGAGGAAGCTATTATTATTTCCATTTATAAGTGAAAAGACCTAGCCTCATAGAGATAAATTCCTCCTCTTCTTGGTGATGTTTCCTTTCCCACCTGGCTTTTATATACCTTCCCTCTATGATTCTGACACCTGGTAGATTCTCTTCAAAGAATTCACAAATCAATGATGCTACCCACTCAGTGGAATACAAACCTATCTTCCAGTTACCATCTCATTTCTCTTTCTTCCTATCGATTAAGTTTCTTAAGAGTAAAATATACTCAATGTCTCTTCCCAAGTTCACACTTACTCTTCTACCCATTGAATCAGGCTTCCAAGACAACTCCTCCACTAAAACGGCTCTCAGGAAGGTTGTCACAGACCACCAAGTTGCTAAATGAAAGGCATATATTGTTTTGCCATCTTACTTGACATTTTTCCTTTTCTCTGCCCACGGCTTTTGGGACACTACCCTTTTGCCTCCCTCCTGTGTCTCTAGGTGATCCTTCTAAGTGGGAGTTCCTTTTTACTTTGTTCAATCCTTTTGGTGATCTCTAGGCTTAATTTTGTGTTCTCTTAATCTTGATTTACTCTCTGAATGACTTCATCTGAACCCATGTTTATCATGAAAGCTGCAGCTTCATATACCATTGACTACTGAACCTCCCCGCTTGTATCCTATCTGCCTCTACCTCCATGCCCCCTTCCCACCCACACCTCCCTTACCCAATGTGCTCTTCCTCCTGCATTCTGAAACTTGGCAGAATCTGGGCAGTCACAGACTTTCAACCACCCCCTGGACAGTCAATCAACCATGATGTCCTCTTGATTTTAATAATCTTTCATATCTCTCTCTTCTTCACTCTTATTATCCCTGACTTACATCAGGTTCTCATCTGTTTGCCAGGGATGCAGGTCAAGATTGCCTTGGAGGCTTTGGGCCATTCCTTAGTAGGTGCAATGAAAAAAACAGATTTGTAACTTTCCTATCATGGTGTTTGGTTCTGGATATCTCCTATTGTTGGGTCTCAGTGGTGGGTCTTGGTCAGGAATGATGAAAATTACAAACCACAACTTGCATTTATCTTCCCTGTAGTTGAAGTTTATCTTAAAATGGGCATGGAAGAAGATAAGATAGCAAATCCAAAGCATTTAACAAACAGGTAATAGATACCTATTCTGTAATCTGTGCTAAGCATCTGGGATACAAAGACAAATATGGCATTGTCCCTGTCCCCAGTGCACTCATGTTCTAGTGGGAAAGGCAAATGATTACAATTCCGTATAATACTTGGAATGATGAAGGAATGTGAGAAATATTCTATGAATACAGGAGAGTTTTCATCCATGTATTCATTTTGCCTTTATTGCATTAAGTGTGTGAAGTGGGGAGGGAGGGAGTGGCAGCATGGCTGACAAGGTAGGGTAGGGCTTCCAGAGACGTGAAAATGCTCTCTTTCAGATAGAGACTGCAGCTCTTGAGACTGCAGCTCTGGATCCTGCCACTGGGGGTTCTGGGAATTCTGTTGGCTATTTTCTCAAGTGGTAGAATTATCCCAAACAAGTTACACAACCTCTGTGATTTCTAATTTCCATAATTCTAAAATGAAAAGTTGGTTAAAATCGGGAGTTGGCAAACTTTTTCAATAAAAGGCCAGATAGTAAATGTGTTAGGCATTGTGGTTCATATAGCCTCGGTATATGTGGTAGGCTTGTGGTCCATATAGCCTTGTTGCATTTACTCAACTGGGTCACTATAGTGCACAAGCAGCCACAGATAATACATAAACAAATAAGCCTGGCAGTATTCCAGTACAACTTGATTTACAAAAACAAGCAGTGGGCTGGATATGGCCCACTGGCTATCGTTTGCAAGCTCCTGGTCTAAACGATCTCCACGATGACTTTCAGATCTGCCATTCCATAGGTTCATGAAACAGCAGTTCTTAAATTCTTGATATACTTCATATTAGTTTTTAAATATACTTTTGTTGTGGTTGACCAGTTTAGAAAATTTTACTGTGGCATTAAAAGTGGTAAGATTTGAGGTTTAACTTATCATGGGTCAGTTAGCTTCTCTCTGTTCCATGACTGTACATCACAGACATCAACAAATTCATGGCCCTGCATGGAGCCACAGAGCTCCATGACTGGACAAATGTCATTCTTCCTTGTTTCTGAGAACACAACCTCAGCACATGCTTCCTTAATGATAGTACAGCAGCATCTATATACTGACATTATTTAGTTCCTTTCAAAAAATAAAATTATTTTTAAGAAAAGTTGTTAATATAATATCTGGCAAAAGAAACCTATAGGTAAATAGGTATGTTTCATTATGAAACTTTTAAATAAGCCAAATTGATTTTTATGGCTACTAAGCAAAAGAATGGTTTAAAAAAAAGTATGCTGTTATGCATGTAAGCTAAAGCAGAATCGGCAAACTGTCTATGTCATAAAAGCCAACAATTCTCTACTTTTCCAATGGTAGACATTGCTAATCAATCCTAGCAGTTTTCCCCACAGACTCTGAATGGATTCTCATAATTATTCCAACTCGCTGAGCCAGGAAATGATGCCAAGTTGATTGGCATTACCATGCCAGATAAAATCTATTGTCACAGTGCAACAAAAGTTACTATACTTTTTCTATTCCAACCACCAATTTATTCTTGCTAAAAGATGTAACCCTGGCTTCAGCAGCTATAAAATTCAACTCAACAAAATGAAGATAGGGTAAGTCTCACTAAAAAACCTTTCATAGAGAAAAACCTGGCATTGTTTATTGAAAGACTTAAAATGGGCTAGGTGCGGTGGCTGACGCCTGTAATCCCAGCAATTTGGGAGTCCGAGGCGGGCGGATCACGAGGTCAGGAGATTGAGACCATCCTGGCTAACACGGTGAAACCCTGTCTCTACTAAAAACACAAAAAAATTAGCTCGGCATGGTGGCGGGCGCCTGTAGTCCCAGCTACTCAGGAGGCTGAGGCGGGAGAATGGCATGAACCTGGGAGGCAGAGCTTGCAGTGAGCCGAGTGAGCCACTGGAGTCCAGCCTGGGTGACAGAGCGAGACTCCGTCATAAATAAATACATAAATAAATAAATTAATTAATTAAAATGTGCATAGTAGTTGGAGACTTGGGGATTTATCGCATTCTCTTTTTGGGTACATTTGAAACTTCCTATAATAAAATGTTTTTAAAGTATTCAATGAAGATAAAAATATCATGGTAAATGACAAGTAATATATTATTACATAAAGGTAAGGTAAAATATAAATTAAGAAATAATATAGAACTGAAATAATGAATGTTGCCTAATTGTAGAAAGCTTTGTGCCTATGATTATCTAGCACATGAAATTATAAAACAATTTTCATTATTGAAATCATTTTTTTTTTTAAGACGGAGTCTCTCTCTATCGCCCAGGCTGGGGTGCAGTAGCACGACTGTGGCTCACTGCAACCTCCGCCTCCCAAGTACAACAGATTCTCCTGCCTCAGCCTCCTGAGTAGCTGGGATTACAGGCGCATGCCACCACACCTGGCTAATTTTTGTATTTTTAGTAGAGACGGGGTTTCACCATGTTGGTCAGGCTGGTCTCGAACTCCTGACCTCATGATCCACCCGCCTCAACCTCCCAAAGTGCTGGGATTGCAGATGTGAGTCACTGCACCCGGCCCATTTTACTAATTTCTTAATAGGCATATTAAAGGATTTGTGTGTGTTTATATAAATGCATTAAATATCTCTGGAAAAATAAATGGAAACTATTAAAAGTAGCTGTCTCCTAGGAGGGAAAAGGAAGGAGGGAGAGTTATTTGTCACTGAATCTCCCATTGGTCCTTCTGAATTTTTGTACATCTTGCCTGTGTTGCCTTATTAAATAGGTAAACAAATAAAATGAGCATGCACTTTGATTCAGCGATCCTGCTCCTAAAATTCTATCCTAATAATCAAGGATGTAGGTAAAGATTTTGCCTCAAGAATGGTCATTACAGCATTGTACGTAACAGGAAAGTGTTTCAAGCAATTTAAATGTCTAATAATTAGGATTTTTTATATGTTATTTCCATAAATAGAAATAATAGCCATTAAATTTATGAAGATGAATTTTTACTAATATATAAAGATGATTGTAATATGGTATTATGCTTTTTTAAAAAGCAAGTTGCAAAACAGGATGTAGCGGATGACCCCACTTTTGTGAGAAAATAACATATGGACAGGAAAATATTTGGGAAATGTGCATCAAAGGGATAATAGTGGTTACCCCGTGAAATAAGAATGGCTTTCATTCTTTCCTTTTTTAATTATTTTCAAATTTCTCCAGTAAATATCAATTTAAAATTAACAAAAGATTATGAAAGGGTTTGAGAAAGTCCCTAAAGGAAAAAAACAATTTTTCTTGTGTGTGGTGTGTGTGTGTGTGTGTGTGTGTGTGTGTGTGTGTGTGTGTGAAAGAACAATCTGAACCCAAAGAAAAAGATGAAATGTGGTTTTCATGATCAAAGTCAAAGTCATTACAATAAATGCTGAAATTTTATTGACAATGTCTCTAGCTGGGAGGTAATGACATCCAGAGTTAAACACTAATGAAGATTCTACCCATGGTATTGAGTCTTCTCAGTGGGTTTAGTAACTCCATCATGGTAATGCAAGGGTAATTTTTCCCCCAGTGTGTAAATAAGTGTTATAACATTGACAACTATTAGACTAATGTATGTAGGATGTTTAACAAAGGAGAATGCTGTCTGAAATACCTACACTAACAACATGGAGACACCAGACATTTTGAGTGAGAGACTTTTATTAACTAAAATATGCTATTGGGACAATGGCCAGAGGGGAAGGGTCTTGCACAGCTTGCTAAGGACTTTTACTTTTTCTGTAAAGACATGGATGAAGTTGTATTTTGGGATAAAAACTCAAGGTAAAGGATAGGTTAGAGGAATGAAAATTAAGCACAAGGATAATAATGATTATCGGGGTACAGTAATAATTGTAATCTCTTTAAAGGAATTTTTCCTAACAAGGATAGAAAGGATAAACATGTAAGCTATTTAAGTTCTAGTTTCAACTTTTTTTCAGAAAAAGATATATGACATATAAATATAAATATAAAACCCATACCAATTGCTTTGTAAACTCCTATCATACATATAATTAGGGATACGCTTAATGTTGCACTTTGACTAAATATTAACTAATTAGAAATTCCATTAAATCAGAATGTATTTTGCCCTTATCAAATAGTCCATTAGGCAAATCAAGCAGGGCTTGGATGTTCATTATAAAGCAATACGTGCTGACTTTCCAATTTCACCTAAATGTAATTCACTTAATATGTTAGATTATATAAATATGCTTAATCATTTCTCTATGCTTGATGTTCCTTAGAAAGGAAATTGTTAGACACAAAGCTGATTCACACTGATAGCTATCAGTTTCTCCCTGTCAAAGCCTTGGGAAGCACATCCCTAGGAGAGCTGAAATAAAACACTAGAAGATTTCCCCATTCCTAAATTATTCCCTGATTTTATGGAAAAGGTTCTAAAGAAATGTTTTCTCTCCTGACCTAATACTGGAAGCTAGAAATAGTCAAGTGGGACTATTCCTCTTTCAAAATTAAAGACTGTTGCCAGCATACTGATGAGATTTTTACCTCTATGAAATAGCCAATTTCAAATAGTCAGTAGCCAATCCTCAGTTTCCTGTGGTTGGGAAGAAGATAGTGAGATACAGGACAGATAACGAGACCTAAATAGTCAGCTGTTTCTGGAAAAGTATACTCAGATTTAGGTTCATATTAGTCTGGCTGCTTTAGAAATGATAGTTGAATTCATACAATTTAAGGGTTTACATGAAATCTAACTTGAATAAATAAAGAAAAGCAGCCTCAATTTGGTCATCCACTAGAGCTGAATCATTTTAACTCAGGGTTCAAATAAATTTATTGGTGCATTTATTAAAACCAAAGTTATTGAGGCAAGGAGGTTTTTTTTCTTCTTTTATACCTTACCTTACACAGAACTTAAAAATAATATTCAGAAGCCTGAAACATGGTCTAGTTAATTCAGGACCATCTCAGGTTGAACTGAGTATTTTGAGCTATGTGAGGTTGAACTGCATATTTTGGTTTAGTTAAATGATATCAAAAGCACCACTGTTTAATGTGGTAGCACAAAACTGCAGCTGCTATTACATCATTCTGCTTTGTATCCATGTTGGAGAAACCGTGCATGGCTGATGTAATGTTTTCTCTTCTTGCAAATATTGTGGCTCATAAATTTTGATTCCCTATGGCTCTCTCCCATGCTTCTTTTTATATAAAAACTTAGGGAAAATCTTTGACATTCTAAGGTTAAGTGATTTGCAATAAAAAATGTTTAATTTCCCTAGATTTTTCTTTTAGTTTCAGAGAACTTTTTTTTTTTTTTTTTTTTTTTTTTTTGAGATGGAGTCTTGCTCTGTCACCCAGCCTGAGGGCAGTGGTGTGACCATGGCTCACTGCAGCCTTGGCCTTTCAGGCTCAAGTGATCCTCCCACTAGCTGGGACCACAGGTGTGCACCACCGTACCTGGTTAATTTTTTATTTTATTTTGTAGAAATGGGCTCACTATGTTGCCCAGGCTGGTCTTAAACCTCTGGGCTCAAGCAATCCTCCCACCTCAGCCTCCCAAAGTGCTGGGATTACAGTTGATATGGTTTGGCTGTGTCCCCTACCAAATCTCATCTCCACAACTCTCATGTGTCATAGGAGGAACCTGGTGGGAGGTGATTGAATTATAGGGGCAGGTCTTTCCTGCCCTGTTCTTGCAATGGTAAGTCTCACGAGATCTGATGGTTATTATAAGGGGGAGTTTTACTGCACAAGCTCTCTTTTCTTGCCTGCTGCCATCCATGTAAGATGTGACTGCTCCTCCTTGCCTTCCACCATAATTATGAGGCTTCCCCAGCCACGTGAAACTGTAAGTCCATTATAAACCTCTTTCTTTTGTAAATTGCTCAGTCTCAGGTATGTCTTTATCAGCGGTGTGAAAACAGACTAATACAACAGGCATAAGCCATCTTGCCCAGCCTAAAGAACAATTTTATAGTCTCAATATAATGGTGGTTTTTGAGAAGCTCAGAAGACAAAACGAGACACTTGTTCATGGTGCAAATTCCTGTTTTTAATTCCAAAAATAATTGTTTGTAACTATTGGTAGTATAGGTCTTCCCTCTCTCCCGGCTTTGGCTGGGATGAGGTGGAGGGCAGGAAGGTTATTGGAATATCTGTTCAGAATTATTCAGGCATAAAAGTTTAGAAATGTGGCCAGGTGCGAGGGCTCATGCCTGTAATCCCAACACTGGCAGGTCGAGGCAGGTGAATCACCTGAGGTCAGGAGTTCACGACCAGCCTGGCAAACATGGTGAAATGCCATCTCTACTAAAAATATAAAAAATTAGATGGGCGTAGTGGTGGGCACCTGTAATCTTAGCTAATCGGGAGGCTGAGGCAGGAGAATTGCTTGAATCCAGGAGGCAGAGGTTGTAGTGAGGTGAGACTGTCCCACTGCACTCCAGCCTGGCAACAGAGCCAGAATCTGTCTAAAACAAAAACAAACAAAAAGTTTAGAAATGTTAACTAATGACTTCAATGAGATTTTAAGTTTAAAAACCATAATTACAAAATCTACAGATTCTATGCCTTCTAGGGGCTGTGTAACTTCCTTTGGAATTTTTTGGCATAACAAAGAACACTCAATTAATGTACTAGTATTGTAGTATATCTTCTAATGGAACATTTAAAACTTTGTATGTTTAAATTACAGACGAGAACATAAGACTTAGTTTCCCATTGCATACCCAAACAGAAATGTTAATGCATGTGCACCATAGTTTGTCATTTGTTCAAAATTGGGTTTGGACAGACTCTATTTATTAAATTTGAACAGTCAGTTTTCTCATATTGTTGCTGTAACAGAAGCAGAAAGATAAAAATAACCCAAACAACTTTGTCAGAGAAAAGCCTGCCTACCACTGTTCCCACCTTGATCCTTCCTAGTTTCCTGCTTTCCTAACCCCAATTCTTTGAAAACAAGATGAAAACAAGCTGACCTGGTACTAAACATCTTCTTGTGAAAAGGCTCATGACAAATACAGTCTTTATAGAAGCTTCCACATTTGAAATGTGAAATGGTGAGATTTTTAGGAGATACCACATGAGTTTGTATTCTATCATTGAAAGTCTCTCTTGTAGGAAAAGCATTAAGACTGTTGTCTTTGCCTCATTCATTCATTCATTCTGCATCAACAAATATTTATTGAATACTTGTTATGTGCAAAGCAATATAAGCAACTCAAGGATGTGGACAGTATAGCCTCTGTGAGAATTTGTATAATGCATATTCAGGAACAGTCAGCCTGTCAAAATTGGATCATCTTATCTGACTTACATTTGGATGAGGACATCATTGGTACAATGGAAAGACCACTGGTCGTGAAGGAAGCCACTTACTCCATCGTTTGCTATTTCTAAGATCTGAGATAAATTAACCTCAAAGGGCTGATGGGTTGGAGAGCAGTGAAAACAAGAACATAGACTACCTTCAGGATTACTTTCACATTAGACTTACTATGACCTAGAAACAGGAAGTGTGAAGCATATGCACAAGACACAGATGCAGGCGAGCGGATTCAGCTCTGAGATCCCTCCCTAGTTCCTCATAGATCACTGGCCAAAGTTCATGGTCAATGCAGCTCCTGGGTAGAGATAAACCTGCCAGTCACAGGAGCCCAGAGACACAGACTCACAGCCTTTCATTCACAGACCCCCATAGTTAGGCCCCTCAGTGTTCCATTTTTTATTGCTTCTTGGGGCCTAACATGGGCAGCCTGCATCTGCTAAACTTCAGTTTCCTCAACACTGATATTTAATAATTGTATACTTGGTAGGCTTGTTCTCAGCCTTGGGCAAGATGGTCGATATGAAGTGTTTAGCATGGTGCTTGATCCATGAAAAGAAGGTGCTTCATCAATGGCTTCCTCAGTTGAGGAACTGAAAGTAACATGTATGTTTCTTGCCTTTCCAGCCTAGCACTCTAATACAGGAATAATGGCAACTGCATTCACTTCGTGACAACAGAATGATACATTAAGGGGTGAGAGAAAACTATGATTATTTGCAGAAAGCAATGCATGTCTAAAAATCCTAAGAAATTTGCTTATTAGCCTATGTGAGTTTATCAAAGTGACTAGGTTTATAGTGAATTCACTATAATTAGGGGATTTCTTTATTGTGGTAACCACTAGTTTAACAAAAAGAGAAGAAATCCCATTTAACATAGCCACAAAAAAGGGTGGAGGGGACACAGAAAAAACCACTTTACTGAGGTCCTGGTATTGCAGTTAAAGAGTTTAATTAATGCAAGGCTGCCAAGCAGAAGGACTGGGGTTATCACTCAAATCAGTCTCTCTGATAAGGGGCTAGGGTTTGTATGGATAATTTGGTGCACAGAGGGATAGGGAATGGGTGCCGATGATTGATTTGGGATGAAATCACAGGGGTATGGAAAATGATCCCAGTGTGCTGAGTCCTCCTTTGGGTGGGGGGCCACAGGACACACTGGTTGAGTCATGAGTCACTGGTTGGATATGGTCAGTCAGTTGCCAGAAAACAAAAGTGAAAAAACATCTCAAAAACCCAATCGTAGGTTCTACAATAGTGATGTTATCTATGGGCGCAATTGGGGAAGTCTTAAATCTTGTGACCTCTGGCCACATGAGTACTGAGCAGTAAGGGATTATAGAAACTATGCCTACATTTGAGCAGAATTGAGGCTCCTCCCATAATACTAATCTTGTGGCCTTTCATTAGTTTTACAAAGGTGGCTTCAGTCCCGGACAAGGAGGGGATCAGTCTTAGGGAGGGACTATTATCATCCTTGGTTCAAAGTCAAACTATAAACTAAATTTCTTCCATAGTGAGCTTGGCCTATGCCCTGGAATGAGCAAGGAGCACCACCTGTGAGGCAAGAAGCATCTTGCCTCAGTCTCTCACTTTTATCATCTCTGCAAACGTGGTTTCAAACCATGACATTTATAAAGAAAATGATAAAGAATTGTATGTGCCATATGTAAAGAAAAGTACAAAGCTTTAATGGACTATACAAAACAAGATAAACAGATTTAGATATATATTATACAGAAAAACAATGTTCACCAAGTGAAGTTATTTACTGTTTGTTAAATATTGAAATTCCACACTAACAAAGAAAGTGTGACTTATGATGCTGCTCTAGTCTCCAGAATTTCCCCAGGAAATCCTAAAACCTAAAGTATAAGTTATTACACTAATTGAATAAAGCAGTGTAAGACATGTAGAAATAAATTCAACATATACTATCATAAAATTAGGAAAAAATAAGTTAGTAATTACATTTTATTCATTGTATTCATTTTTATTTTTTATCTTTATTTTTAAAATTTTGAGACATATCTCGCTTTGTCACCCAGGCTGGAGTGTAGTTGTGTGATCATGGCTCACTGTAGCCTCGTCTACTGAGCTCAAATGATCTTCCCACTTCAGCCTCCCAAACAGGTGGGACTACAGATGTGTGCCACCATGTCTGGCTAATTATGTTTTAATAATTGCCAGGATAACTGGCTAAAAAACACAAAAACAAAAAGTAATTTAAATTAGCACTTATGGTACATAGCAGAGTAAGATCATAGTGCATTAAAGAGTTAACTATATCCTTTAATTTTTAGCAAACTAGGAGAAATATGCATCAAATATCTGTGAAATCTTTAGACAGCATTTTTGAAAAGCTTATGGCAACAATGGAAATCACACAAAAAAATAGCTTAAAAACATCAAGAAAAAGTGATTTTAACATAAAAAAACTAACAATGATTGAAACACACAAGAAGGGAAACATAATTAGGAAACAGGGAAGAAGTTAGTATACATAACAAATTAAGGACTTATCCAAATCTTCAAAAATATTAAAACCTCAAGAGATAAATGGTCAGAGGACATAAACATACTATTTGCATATGAAGAAATTTAAGTAAATTAGATGCCTAAATAAATTCTTGGAAGGATATTTATAATAGCAAAAAACTGGAAACAAAATACCCAGTATAAATTACAGTGCATCAACTCAACAGACTGTTATATAGTCATTAGAATTATTATTATGGAAACTGGAAAATTTGTTATTTAATATAATTCATATTATACACGTAGAAAAACAAATGAAAATTGTTATTGATATAGAATAGTGGAATAATGGCTTTTCTATAAATAAAATTGAGGTGGAACAAGGGAACAGCTGTACTAGTTATTGAACATTATTACTGATTTTAACATCTATTGCATTTTTCAACATAGAGATGAGAGCAAAAAAGTTAAACAGAAGAAATCAGGGATATTAGTGCCAAATGGTAAGTTATTCAGCTTCCTAGAGTTACGATCTTTCACCATGCCAGAACTTTTACAGAGAACACTCACATTTCCCAAAGGCACTGGGGAAGGTGAGGAACACGCTGTGGGAGTCACCAACCATATGTGATGATGGTTATACCTTTGTCTATGGGGCCTTATTCTGGGATATCAGTGTCATCAGTTTGTCTTTCTCCTTCCTGATGCTTTATTCTTATCATAATTCTTTTTAAAGTTTGCAGTTTGCCTGGATTTAGATAAAGGTCTTCATCTTTTAACTGTGAATTTATTTCTTGTATGTAGCTCCTAACATATTTCAGTATCCTCTTTGCCATCCCTTGCCATCTTGTTTACTGTTTCTCATGTAAAAGGCATTGTTTAGATTAAGAGTTAACAGCTCAGGCTGGGCACAGTGGCTCATGCCTGTAATCCCAGCACTTTGGGAGGCTGACCTGGAATAATCGCTTAAGGCCAAGAATTCAAGACTAGCCTGGGCAACATAGTGAGCCCCTGTCTCTACAAATAATAATAAAAATCAAAACAGTTAATAATTTGAATAATGGGCACAGTTTCACTCCTGGCTGAGTGTGTGACCTTGGACAAATTACTTATTTGTAAGCCTTGGATACATTTATAAGTAAGATGGAAATGATGACACAAACTTCATTGGGTAATTATGAGGTTTAAATTAAGAGATAATTCATATAATGTGCTTAATGTGTTACCTACTTATAACATTGTAAACTCTCAGGTTATGACATGAATATGTCACTTAAATGCCTTTCAAATTTTTAACTATTAAGGAAAAAAAAGAAAAACTCACAACCTTAAAATAATTGTTTGTTTGAGAAAGGGGTCTTGCTCCAGGCTGGAGTGCAGTGCTGCCAACACGGCTCACTGCAGCCTTAACCTCCTGGGCTCAAGCATCCTCCCACCTCAGCCTCCCAAGTAGCTGGGACTCCAGACGCATGCCACCATTCCCAGCTAATTTTTTTTTTTTTTTTTTTTTGGTAGAGACTGGGTCTCACTATGTTGCCCAGGCTGGTTTCGAACTCCTGGGCTCAAGTGATCTTCCTGTCTCAGCCTCCCAACTTGCTGGGATTACAGGTGTCAGTCACTGCACCCAGCCAGTTCTACTTCTTTCCATACATTGGGTAGATCACTATAAGAAAGTCATGGTTAAATTTAAAAAGGCAAGTTCCCTTACTTTGCCTTTTAAAAGACACCTTGAATATGGAATGGAATAGTGTATAAATAAATCGACCAGGTTTCCTTAATCACCACACCTAAGTAAACTGTATTTACTGAAATCAGAAAGATGACGAGAAGGAAAATGCATTTATTCAATCCTGGCTTTATGACTTAAGTAGTCCAACAACCTCATTGCAGCTACTAAAGTCTGTCAAATGATCAAAACCAAAATATAGAACTATTTGCTATAGTTCATATTTAAACTTTTGAAAATGAATCTCAGTTGAAAAGTTCAGGTAGGGAGGAAGGGGCATTTTCAAAGGAATTAAATGTTGTGGTTCAGGTTCAAAGCAGCTATGGCTGGCAGAAAATCAAGGCTTTCCATATTGTGTCTTAGGTAGTGATACCAAATGGGGTGCAGGTATTGTATATATGTATTTTTAAAATTTGAAATTGGTAAGTGTAGTATGAGCATTACTTGGACTTTATTTGAATTTATTTGAATTTCAACAGCTACCCACAGATGTGCTTAGCATGAATAGGCCCCAATTCCCAAATAGCACAATATTTCAAATCTATTTTAGATTCTGAAACAAGAGCCGATTCTAGGAAGATAGCTCTGAACCTTTTTCCCAGCTGCAGAAATAACTCTGCTTGTTGCCCCTCTGACCTACACCAAGGGAAGCTGCTTGAAAAGATGTTCTTTTGCCAACAATCATTTTACCATTGTAACCCACAAGTGGAAAAACAAACTATTGGCTCCTCTTCAGAAAACCTATTCTCACATTGCCAGAACCAGGTAGATAAAGAAAGCAAGCCATAGAGTTCTTTTAATTCCTGTCTCATTTTCCAGAATGATCTTTAAATTTTTGTTACCCCAGGGAGGCCTATTATTCATGGCATGTATGAAATGGGGCTTATATATATGTCAACAATTGGTCACTAGTAACCTTCCCCCAAATAATTAAATTCATCTAGGGAGGCTTTAGGACCACTCTTCCCCCAGCTCCCAATTCCTTCTCCCTCCTTCTGTTCCCACCCCTTACTTTAGGATGTATAAGCCCTTCTCATTTGAAAGTAGAAACCTCTCACCTGAATTCTCCTCTAGCTGTTGCCCTATCTTGTTTCTTTTCTTCACCCAGCTTCCGGAGCTGATGAATTCCTATTAAGTCAAATGGAAATTCTGAATTTCCTTTCAGACATAATAATGTTTTTATTGGGAGCTTCTTTGTGCCAGGCACTTTTATAGGCCCCTAAAAAACATTTTCTTGATGAAAAAATACATGAATAATACATGCTCATTATAACAACTCAACAATACAGAAACAGATAAAGATAGCATCAATGCCTCTCCCCACTCAACTCCGTATCTTACCTTGTCCACCACAAGAGATAAGAATTACTAACCCTCTTTTGTAGCTGAGAATGGCTCAGAGAGTACCCCGTAGAGTTTAAAAGGAAGAGCTTTATAGGCTCAGATTGCCTGGGTTCATTTCTTCGCCTCGCCATTTCCTATGTGTCCATCTGCAAATTAACATTTCTGCACCTCGGCCGGGTGCGGTGGCTCATGCCTGTAATCCCAGCACTTTGGGAGGCTGAGGCGGGCGGATCACGAGGTCAGGAGATTGAGAACATCCTGGCTAACACGGTGAAACCCCGTCTGTACTAAAAAAAATACAAAAAAATTAGCCAGGCGTGGTGGTGGGAGCCTGTAGTACCAGCTACTTGGGAGGCTGAGGCAGGAGAATGGCGTGAACCCGGACGGCGGAGCTTGCAGTGAGCCGAGATCGCGCCACTGCACTCCAGCATGGGCAACAGAGGGAGACTCCGTCTCAAAAAAAAAAAAAAAAAAAAAAAAAAAAAAAAAGATAGATAGATATCTATATCTATCTATCTATCTATCTTTATCTAGCTATATCTATATCTATATATTTCTGCACCTCAGTTTTCTTATCTGTTGAACAGGGCCAATGATAGTACCTGGTTTATAGGGTGTTGTGATAAGGATGTAATTTGCTAAAACAAAATTGTTGGAAAAACATTTACTATCCAGTCCATATTTTAATTTCCTCCACTGTCCCAAGAATGCTTTTGAGAGTTTTCCTGTCCCCTACCCCAAACAAGGATCATATACTTATATTTTTGAAAGGGCATGGGCATGTCCAGTGGGTTGTGGTAAATGATTGAGTGTGTTGGTGGATCTTGTTTACTCATATTTTATCCAGTATTTTTGTATCAATATTCACAAGTAATACTAAAAAGTCCTTTAGTTGCAGACCATAAGTTCTAGTATATGAGGTTTCCATTATTGTTATTTTGAAGGTGTTCTGTAATTTATTTATTTCCTTTTTGACCCAAGAGTTGATTTAGAGAGTTACTTATGTCAGCAATTACAGAACTGTTCTCAGAACATGCTGCTCACACTCTACTTTTTGCAATATATTGAGGTTTTTTTATGGGCATAATAAATTCTCAATTTTTGTGAATGTCCAATGGGCACGTGAAAAGAAGGGGTATTCTCTATTTTCAGGATGCTGAGTCCTAGATAGCAAAAATAATGAGAGCCAATATTTATCAAATACTTAATATATGCTAAGCTTCGCTCTTTAGAACAATTCTGTGCTTCACAACAATTCTGGGAGGTAGGCACTATTATTATGTCAGTTTTACAGATAAGGAAACTGGGCACAAAAGTAACTTTCCCAAGGTTATTTAGTAACTAAGTGCAGTTTGAGATTTGGACTTACCACTCTTAACCACTACATTTCAACTTATTTAATTAATCTTCATATCACCCCTGTATGTAGATATTTATCTGTGAAGCAGAGGAAGAAAACTCAGGCTCAAAGAGGTTAAGCGTTTGCCCAAAGTCATAATAGGCCACACCCTGCATTCTTCCCCTTTCTCCTTGGTATTCCTTTCAGCTGCCTCATCCATTGTCAAAAGGAGAGTAGGATGCTGATATGGTTTGGCTCTGTGTCCCCACCCATATCTCATCTTGTAAGCTCCCATAATTCCCATGTGTTGTGGAAGGAACCTGGTGGGAGATCACTGAATCATGGGGGTGGGTCTTTCCCATGCTATTCTTGTGATAGTGAATAAGTCTCATAAGATCTGATGGTTTTAAAAATGGGAGTTTCCATTTACAAGCTGTCTCTCTTTGCCTGCTGCCATCCATGTAAGATGTGACTTGCTCCTCCTTGCCTTCCACCAAGATTGTGAGGCCTCCCCAGCCACGTGGAACTGTAAGTCCATTAAACCTCTTTCTTTTGTAAATTTCCCAGTCTCAGCTATGTCTTTATCAGCAGTGAGAAAATGGACTAATACACATGCTTATCTTTTGACCCCCTACTTTTTATTATACAAATTTTCCTACATACATAGAAAGCATAGTACAATCAAATAGCTACATAATTCCACCTAGTTAAAGTTTGCTATATTTTCTTTCCTCCCTCTCTCCCCATAAGTTTGTTTTTGGCATTGTAGTTGAACTTTGTGAAGGTAAGTTGGAAATACCTTAACACTTGACTTCTAAATACTAAAATTCCTTTCCTGAGAATAAGAATGCTGTTTTCTATACTTTAATGCCATTTATCACACCTAAGAAAATTCATGTAATTCTTTTAAACATTTACTATCCAGTCCCTATTTTAATTTCCTCCACTGTCCCAAGAATGCTTTTGAGAGCTTTACTGTCCCCTACCCCAAACAAGGATCATGTATCTTGTTGAAACAACTCACCACCTAAATTTATACTTATATTTTTGAAAGGGCATTAAGATTTCTACTTGTTTCTGTATAATATGCATCCACCCATCTCCAGACCGGCATCCCTTTTTGGGCAATTACCTTGGACCTTCTCCCTTTCCTCCCACCTTGTTTTTTACATGTGAGTTTGCAGCACTGTCTGCCTGGCTTCCGCCCTTCCTGGCTAGTCTCCTGCTTCTGCCTTCTTCATTCTAAGCTCCCTGAGCAGGATCTGAGAGGTGAAGCCAGCTGGGCTTCTGGGTCGGGTGGGGAGTTGGAAAACTTTTCTGCCTAGCTAGAGGATTGTAAACACACCAATCAGCAGGATGTGGGCGGGGCCAAATAAAGGAATAAAAGCTGACCGCCAGAGCCAGCAGCGGCAACCTGCTTGGGTCGCCTTCCACGCTGTGGAAGCTTTGTTCTTTCACTCTTCACAACACATCTTGCTGCTGCTCACTCTTTGGGTCCGCACTACCTTTATGACCTGTAGCACTCACTGAGAAGGTCTGCGGCTTCACTCCTGAAATCAAGCGAGACCACGAACCCACCGGAAGGAAGAAACTCCGGACCCTTCTGAACATCTGAAGGAACAAACTCTGCACACACCATCTTTAAGAACACTCATCGCGAGGGTCCGTCGTTTCATTCTTGAAGTCAGTGAGACCAAGAACCCACCAGATGGAACCAATTCTGGACACAGATCCATGCCTGTTTCATTCACCACTAAACATCTATCACCTCCCTGACACACAAAAGGTGGTCAATAAATAGGCACTTACTGCTCTTCCTGTGCTCACTGTTTGTTTGGATTTGATGACTGAAGCTGGCTTCCTGGTTTCAACTAGTGATTGTAATATCTTCTCTCAGTATTCTGGCAGTTCAGTATATGGTGTATGTTAAAATAATGAAATTCTGGTATATTTATTTTACTATGATTATCCAGTACTGTAAAAGGTGCTGAATTATCATCTTGAAACATATGCAAAGAGTTATACACTATATTAAAATTTGAAAAGAATGAAGGAGCAACTCTATACTCCTCCAAAGGAAAGAGAAAATATCAATGGACAACCCAAAGCTTTTTTTTCGACAGGGTGTGTCACTATGTCACCCAAGCTGGAGTGCCAGTGGCAATCATAACTCACTGGAAGCTCCAACTCCTGGGCTCAAGCGATCCTCCCATCTCAGCCTCCTGAGTAGCTAGGACTACAGGTATGCAGCACCATGCCTGGCTGATTTTTAAATTTCTTTGTAGAGACACGGTGATATGGTTGGATATTTGTCCCTGCTCAAATCTCATGTTGAAATGTAATCCCCAGTGTTCGAGGTGGAGCCTGGTGGGAGATGACTGGATCATGGGGGCAGCTTCTCATGAATGGTTTAGCACTATCCCCTTGATGTTGTCCTCTTGACAGTGAGTGAGTTCTCACAAGATCTGGTCACTTAAGTGTGTGGCACCTCCCTCTCTCTCCTCCTCTTGCCATGTGCCTGTTGCCCCTTTGCCTTCCGCCATGATTGTAAGCTTCCTTAAGTCTCCCCAGAAGATGAGCAGATGCCACACTATGCTTCCTGTAAAGCCTGCTGAACCAATTACACTTTTTTCTTTATAAATTACCCAATCTCAAGTATTTTTTTATAGCAATTCAAGAATGACCTAACACACAGGGTCTCACTACCTTGTCCACGCTGGACACAAACTCCAGCCTCAGGTGATTCTCCCACTTTGGCCCCCCATAGTGCTGGCATCACAGGCATGAGCCACTACACCCAGCTTCTAAACCTTCTATCACATACATAAATCTTACTCCTACTTCAAAGACCGTTCAATAAAGTGGAATGTGAATGGGACAGTAATTAATTAGGTTGATACAGTTGTACCTAATCTATATTCAAACAGGATAAATTAAAGATGATACAGTTAAAACCAGAAATGCTTTACTTGAAACAAAAACTACAGTTTGCCATCCATAAAAAGTTATTTCTAAAAAAAAAAAGTAATCACAGAGAGATTATCCTAAAATGACAACTCAAGAAAATAATAGGAATTAGAGCAAAACTCTGTTCACCTCTCTGCCACCAGTGTAGAAACTGGAAGCTTTTATAGCAGCTGGAAAAAATTTGCTCCAAAAAATACTCTTATGGTAATGATGACATCATCAATGCACTCTTTTTCATTTTCAATTTTCCATGATTAACCAACTTATTCATTTACTGTAGTATCAATTTCTTTTCTAATACTTAAAAATTTTTATCTAAATTAGGCTAGAGTGATTATGTCTAACACTTAGATATTAGAAACATTTTATAATATCTATTTTAAAATTTGCATTTAAAACGTATTACTTAGTTTCACTGTTGTATTTCCTGAATTCTGAACACTTTTAAAATAAGAGTCTGGTATAAATACTGGTATTTTGGTTTTGTGTAACATAAACACTGTAACAGCAGTTGCATCATTTTGCTCCTGTATCGCATTCACTGGTGGGGATGCTTGACACTAGCCAGGACACAGGTCCAGTCACAAGCCTGTGGCTCTGCTCACCCCTGGCTGAAACACTCTGGGGCTAGTCTATCAGGCCAGGACTCTACATAGACCTTTTAGCCTTTTACAGTTTCACCAGGCACAATAATGTATATTTTCTTTCTATGAGTGCTACATTAGTAGAAAATGATTAAATCATAATTTATTAACTTTGCCAAGGTAAATCATTTCCCATGCCCTGGTAACTCAAATATTTTTCTCCTCTCTTATCTATATTTATATACAATAAAGACGACTGCAGCTGTAAAGCTACTTGGTTAATCACTTAAAACTTCTTTTTGACCATTTCCTTCACAAACAGTTTGATAAACTTTCCATGGGAAACAGAAGAAATTAGCAAAGTGTACATCTCCCTCTCTTGTTTACCAACATTCTTTTGAATCTTACGAAAGTAACATATTGTATTCAGGCCCTCAGCTTTCTAAACTGGGTGGCCTAGTTCTAAGAAAAATAGTTCTGTATGTTAAATCACTATATAAACAATGTTGTTTAAAGAATTTAAGTCAAGAGAGAGGGATCCCTTTCAAAACAAGAACTGAAAAAGAATATTTGAGGAGTCCAAGGAAAACAAGACTATACAATTCACAGGCTCTTTTCAGTCATCTAATATTGAGTTTATCTTTTAAAACATCATGTTTTTCTGTTTCCCAGAGAATTTAAACACTTTACAATTCTGTGATGTGCAGATTAGTGGCTAAATTGTACTCTTCCCAAGAAGCCATATCGTTCTTCCTTCCCTTACTCATTTTTCATTTTTCTTTCCTTTTTCTCCCTCTCCCTCTTTCTCCACATCTTTATTTCTGCCTCTAGTTGACAAAACATTTCAGAGATTTTATATAGCTCTCCTTGTTCTCCCTTTTTTTAGGAAAAAAAAATTATAGCCAGAATATTTCAGGCTCCAAAGTTGAAATTGTATATTATTCTTTTCAACTGTTTCTAGTCCATGCCTTAAAACAAAGCAGAATGGAACCCCAAAAGAAAATAACACTTCACAATGAACTCAAAGAATAATATCACTACTCACCTTTCAATTTTAAAAAATACATGTTTCCTAATGTATGTGTACCCTTGGGGAGATGTATAATACCAGGGTCTGTGACATTAAGAAATATAAAATTCTAAAGGTGTCTGCCTTCCCACTAACTGATTTTATCGAAAGGTAGTGGTGATATACCTTGGCCCTAGAATACATATCCAGCTTTGAGTCTCCTGTCAATGGTTTGGACCACCTATTGCCCTAAAACGTTGCTACTGTCATGTCATTCCCTCTCATTTCTCATGTTTTTTAGCTCCTGCCTCATTCTCACTTCTCTCTTGTCTTATCTCTCAGTGATTTCAATATACACATAGACTATCCTTCCCATCCTGGCCTGTTGGCTCATTGACCTCCTCCCCTGCAATGACCTTACCCTATCCTCTGTCTACCTCATTAGAGACCACCTTGGATTCATGAATGGGATTCTGACTAATCCCTTGCAGGTCATTCTCAAACCACTGTCTCTCAGCCCTCTAGCTTATTCTCCCTAGGACTCGACCCCAGGAGACCTTCAGTACCCTGAATCTTCCAATTCATTGATCAGACCACCTTTTCACTGACCTCATCCTGTATGTCTTCCGTCCTCCAGCTTAAACTCTAAGATCAATTATTATAATTATTCTCTTGCCCTTCTTGTTTCAGGTCTAAATCCAACTCTGCTTATTCACACTGCAGCTGTAAGTTGAATGCGGCTGGAGAAAAATTCATAGCCATGCTGATGGGCCTCATTTCCAATTCATGACTTTAACATTGTCTGACAATACTTTAGGTCACAGTCTAGTCACTCTTCTCTCTAGACAACTATTTCATACCTTCTTCTCTGTCCTCAGACTCCCACTGCCTGTTGCCCCATCCTCACACTCATTTGATCATCTTGCTTTCTATTTCACTGAGAACAATGAAGCAATCAGAAGACGATTTCATAAATCTCACTATCACTTCTACCTGTTTACTAGCATATACACCTCACACTTTGACTTCCTGCCAGTTACCACTAGTGAACTTGCCATGCTCCTAAAGCTGACATCTCCTTCTCCACTTAGGTACTAGATTCCACCTCCTCTTGTCTATTCCAGGACATCCCTCCAATAATGCTTCCTTCTGTCTCTTACATCATTAGTTTTATGCTCCCTACTGGATCATTCACATCAACCTGCTTCTTTACACATGCTTCATCTCCCATTTTAAAAACACGTTCTTTGATCCATTTCCCCACCAGCTATCATCCCATTTCTTTGAAACAAAACTTCTCAAAACAGTTGTATATACTCGCTGTTTTCACTTTTTCGCTTCCTGTTTTCTCTTAAACTTATTCCAGCCAAGCTATTATCCCACCACTCCACTGAAAGTAGCTTGACTACTCTTGTCATGATCCCATTTCTTTGTTTCTTTTTGGAGAAAAATTCCTCAAAAGAATTGTCAATATTCAATCTCCATTTCTTTTCTCCCTTTCCCTTTCAAACATATTTCAACCCCCACCACTCCACTGAAAGTGCTCTTTTTGAGTCACCAGTGACTCTTTGTTGTAAAATCCGACGGTCAATTCTCAGACCTCATACTAACTGACATGTGAGCACCCTGTGACACAGCTGAACACCTTCCTTTACACATTTGGCTTCAAGCACATTGCACTCTCTTGGTTTCCTTCCTACCCTGCTGGTCTCTCTTCAGTCTTCCTTGCTGTTTTTCCTCTTTTTCTTGACCTTATACTTTTGGAGTCTTCAGGGCCCAGCTTATCAGGACTCACTATCTTAGTGTTCTCATCCAACCCTTTGACTTTAAATTCCATGCATGCTGATTATCCCAAAATGTGAATAACTATCTCAGACCTCTCCTGAGCTCTAAACTCATTATGCCCACTTGGCATCTCAACTCTGGTGTCCAATAATCATCTCAAACAATATGTTAAAAAAGAGAGACAACTCTGATTTTCCTGCAAAGATCTTCCTCATTATAACCTTCACCATCTCTGCTTCCAGTAACTCCATCCTACCAGTTGCTCATGTCAAAATCATTGGAGTCATCCTTGACTTCTCTCTTTCTCTTACACCCCATGCTGGGAGGTGGGGCCTTTAAGAGGTGATCAGGTTGTTAAGATGGATTTATGTTTTTCTTGCAAGGCTGGATAACTTCTCATGGGAATGGATTAGTTTTTGAGAGAGTGGGTTGCTATAATGCAAGTCAGCCTCTCTTGTCCATTCTTTCCCAGGTGCTTGCTTGCTCTTCTGCTTTTTTGTCATGCTACTTCATAGCACAGCATATTGGACTTCTCAGCATCCAGAATTGTGAGTTAAATAAGCTTTTCTTTATAAATTACCCAGTCTCAGGTATTCAGTTACAGCAACAGAAAATGAACTAAGAGATCCCATAGCCAATTTACCATTAAATCAGGCTGACTCTACCATCATACTATGTCCACCATCCACCTCCATTGCTGCCACCTGGTCTGAGAAACATCTTTCACCTGGGTTACTGCAGTAGCCTCCCAAAAGATCCCCCTAAATCTACCATTGCCACCATACAGATTATTTTTCACCCAGGAGCCAGAGTGATTCACGCAAAACTTAAGTCAGATTTTGTGTCCTCTGCTCAAAATCCTGTAGTAATTTCCCATTTCACTAAGAATAAAAGCCAAATTTCTTACACTATCATACAAGACCCTACTTGATCTAGCCTCCCTCATTCACTGTGCTCCAGTCACGCTGGCCTCCTTGTTATTTCTTGAACATTCCAGACATGCTCCTGTCTTAGTGCCTCTGCTTAGCACTTCTCGTGCTGAAATGCTCTCCTCCAGGATTTCTACTAGCTGACTCCCTCAACTTCTTTGACTCTTTGCCAAAATCTCATATTTTCAATGAGGCTTCCTCTGACCACCCTATTTCATACTACAATCTCCTCCCCACTCCCTACCCCCAGGACTTTCAATCTCCTTGCTCTATTGTTTTTTCCATAGCACTTATAACTTTCTAATGTGCAATATTGGTTTCTTGTTATTATCTTTCTCCCCTGCTAAAATGTAAACCCCAAGAGGGAAGAAATCTTTGGTCTGTTCACCGTTATATCCAGAGGGCCTATAAGAGTACCAGGCACACAGTAGGTACCCAATAAACATTTGTTGAATGTTTAATAAATATTTGTTGAATGTTTAATAAATATAAAAATGGATTATGTGTTCCTTGAAGGTTTGGTAGCAGTCGCCTCAAAATCATTTGAACCTCATGCTATTTTTGTGGAAACATTTTTTTAAGCTACTGATTCCATTTGTTTATTGTCTCTAGGTCTATTTAGATTTTCTATTGCATTTCAGTCCGTGTTGATAAGTTATACATTTCTATGAAGCCATATATTTCATCTAAGTTTGAAAATGTATTGGCATAAAGCTGTCTAACATCCTGTCTTATATTTATTTAAACCATCAATGTGACTATAATTTTCTCTCCAAATATTGCTTATTTTCTCTCTCCTTTTATTATTAATCTTTGGTTAATGCTCTGTATTGTCTTACATAAATTTCTCCTGTTTATTATTACCTTTTCTCTATGTCCTTTGGCCTAATTCTATTGGTCTTTTATATATTTCTCAAATTATTTTTCATGATGAGTGATACAGCACTTGCCAATATTTCCAGTTTCCTCCTTCCAGGCTCAAGAGAAGATTACACCTCCCTGTCCTATTAAAGTTAGACAAGGCCAACTGACTAGCTGTAGCCAATGATTTATGTCACTTCTGACAGAAACATTTAAAAACCTATGCATGGGGAAAGAATTGTCTTTTCAATAAACAGTGCTGGGTCAATTAGATATTCATATGGAAAAAAAGAAATTGTGACCCCACTCATAAAAATCAATTCCAGATGGATGGCATATATAAATTTGAACAATCTTGGTGAGATAAGATTCCTCTTTTTTTCTTCTTTTTAAAAATAGAGATGGGGTCTTGCTGTGTTGCCCAGGCTGGTCTCCAACTCCTAGGCTCAACTGATCCTCCCGTCTCCGCCTCTCAAAGTGCTAGGATTACAGGTGTGAGGCACTGTGCCCAGGTGAGAGGTAAGATTTCTTAAACAGAGCAGAAAAACACTAAGGTAAAGGGGAAAATGACAAATTGGCACATATTAAGATGAAAAACTTTTGTTCTTCAAAAGGTACCATTAAGATGGTGAAAAAGTAGGCCAGGTACGGTTGCTCATGCCTGTAATCCCAGCACTTTGGGAGGCCAAGATGGGCGGATCACCTGAGGCCAGGAGTTCAGACCAGCCTGGCCAACATGGCAAAACCATGTCTTGACTAAAAATACAAAACAAAACAAAACAAAACAAACAAACAAAAAAACCGGGCATGGTGGTGGGCGCCTGTAATCCCGGCTACTTGGGAGGCTGAAGCAGGAGAATCGCTTGAACTTGGGAGGCGGCAGCTTCAGTGAGCTGAGATCATGCCATTGTACTCCAGCCTCGGCGACAGCGAAACTACGAGTCCAAAAGAAAAGTAACCCCACAGAGTGGGAGGAAATATTTGTAATACCTATACTGGAAGAGAAATATTTGTAATACCTATACTGGAAGAATGACTGACTAGTATCTAGCATGTACAAAGGCTTCCTACAAATCCATATGAAAAATAACGTCAGCCCAGTAGAGAAATAGGGAGAAGCCTCGGATACTGCACAAGAGAGAATATCCTAGTGGCCAACAAACACATGAGAAGGTTCTCAGCTCATTAGACTTTGGCTAAATGCAAATTAAAACCACCATGTAATATCATTACTCATCCAGCACGATGGCTAAAATAACAAAGACGTAAAGACACCACCACAGACTCGCGAGACTGAGGAGTGAGTGTCGCGAGACTGAGGGGTGGGTGTCGCGAGACTGAAGAGTGGGCGGCGCAAATGGGCGAGGTGTTTACTCGCCATTTTGTGTGAGGAACGTTGACGCTACCTACCTCTGGCCTGGCCTCTACCCACTGCTGCCCTGGCCGCTACCAACATGAGCCTCCCGGAGAGTCCTCACAGCCCCGCTACTCTCGACTATGCTCTGGAAGACCCGCACCAGGGCCAGAGGTCCCGAGAAAAGAGCAAGGCGACAGAGGTAATGGCAGATATGTTTGATGGCCGCTTGGAGCCAATCGTGTTCCCACCGCCCCGGCTTCCAGAGGAGGGGGTCGCGCCCCAGGATCCCGCAGATGGTGGCCATACTTTCCACATCTTGGTCGATGCGGGTCGCAGTCATGGAGCCATCAAAGCGGGGCAGGAAGTGACTCCACCACCCGCGGAGGGCCTAGAAGCGGCCTCTGCCTCGCTGACAACTGACGGCAGCCTCAAAAATGGCTTTCCGGGTGAAGAGACGCACGGCCTAGGTGGGGAGAAGGCTCTAGAAACCTGTGGGGCAGGGAGGTCGGAGTCTGAAGTGATTGCAGAGGGGAAGGCCGAGGACGTGAAGCCTGAGGAGTGTGCCATGTTCTCAGCCCCAGTGGATGAGAAGCCAGGAGGCGAAGAAATGGACGTGGCGGAAGAAAACAGAGCAATAGATGAGGTAAACAGGGAGGCAGGGCCTGGGCCCGGGCCCGGGCCCCTGAACGTGGGTCTCCACCTGAACCCCCTGGAGTCCATCCAGCTGGAACTGGACTCCGTGAATGCAGAGGCTGACAGGGCGCTCCTGCAGGTGGAGCGCAGGTTTGGGCAGATTCATGAATACTACCTGGAGCAGAGGAATGACATCATTCGCAATATCCCGGGCTTCTGGGTCACTGCTTTCCGCCACCACCCACAGCTGTCTGCCATGATTAGAGGCCAAGATGCCGAGATGTTAAGCTACTTAACCAATTTGGAAGTGAAGGAGCTCAGACACCCTAGGACAGGCTGCAAGTTTAAGTTCTTCTTTCAAAGAAACCCTTACTTCAGAAACAAGCTGATTGTAAAGGTGTATGAGGTCAGATCCTTCGGCCAAGTGGTGTCTTTTTCCACTCTAATCATGTGGCGCCGGGGCCATGGACCCCAGTCCTTCATTCATAGGAACCGACATGTCATCTGCAGCTTCTTCACCTGGTTTTCAGACCACAGCCTTCCAGAGTCCGACAGGATTGCTCAGATTATTAAAGAGGACCTCTGGTCAAATCCACTGCAGTACTACCTGTTGGGTGAAGACGCCCATAGAGCTAGACGTCGCCTGGTAAGGGAGCCAGTGGAGATCCCCAGGCCCTTTGGGTTCCAGTGTGGTTAACCTTTGCCTTTGGAATTACTCCTGCAGAAGGTTGCCTGCCACCACCAGCTGGACCTGAGCTTGGGCAACAGCATTAGGTATGCCCTTTACTTTTTTTGTTCTGACTTTCCTGTACCCTCTGTTTAAACTTTCCGTTCTCTCAACCTGAAGATTGAGACCTTGGTGGCTGTGCTGCTCCCCTTTCACCTGGTCGTCTTGCTATTCTGCATTAACATCACATGCTCCCAGCCGATGGGTCACATCCTTCTAAGCGAAGCGAATGATGCTGTAGGTTACACTGTATTTACCTTTGTTTGGACTCGGTTTGTTCCCAGGACCTCTGGTCTGGCTCCTCCTACTTGGATTTCTAGCTGTGTCTAAGAACCTATTCAGCTCACCCTGCTCTGCATCTGACAGTACAGGTGCATGGCCTGTGGACAATTGCTGGGCATTAATGAAGTCAAGGGAGAACAGCAGGGGGCAAGTTGGTCTGTGTGAATTATGGGACCCCATTACTTTTCCTGAGACTGGTCACCTATTGCTGCCTGCTACTGGCTATTCCCAAGTACTGCTACTTGGGCAGCTCCCTGCTGAGTGAACATATCCCAGACCATTGCCAGCTCCACTCTCTGGTTTCTAATAAACAGGGATCTCCAGAACACTGGTGGTGGACACAGCTTTCCTGTCAGCACACAAAAGACCTGTTCCTCTTCCAAAAGACCTCTCTTTACCACCACCACCCTCATCACTCAGAAACCCTACTGTTTGTTAGACAGGTGGTTGAGGGGACATGTCAGACCCTATCCTCATGGCAAGGTTAATATGTTGGTGTTCTTGACAAGTACCAGGCTTTCTCAGCCACAACCAGTGGATTCATTCAAAATCTAGGTACCTTTATTTGCCTCCCTTCCTGAACCTAATGAAGTGCCAGAGTGAGTGTACACTTTCTTTTCTCTCATCTCTCATAAATCTCTTCTGTCTTCCTTTAAAAAAAACAAAAGTAGTAGTTCAGAAACATCCGCAGAAGCAGGCTTTTTAGTTTCTTGGCTCTCTTTGTCATGTCCAGAGGCAGGCTGTTCTGTAAAATAGACTGCCAGACCTCTTATTGCCCATTCTCCTTTCTTCTCAGCCCCTCACCCCTCTTTAGCAATTCCTAGAGGGTTTAAAGGACTACAGAGCTGTATGGAATGAAAGGTGATTTCTAGTTCAGAGTGGATAGAAGAACTAAAGAGATTGTGATGGGTGCTCTAGGCAGGGAAAACTGAACAAAAAGGCAGAAATGATTCAGGGGAAAATCGGGCCTAGAATTTACACTGGGTTGACTAGTTATGATGGGAAGAGAAGTACTTTTTTTTAGTATGCACGTAGAAGAATAGAAGATGGTTGGAGTGTTAAATATGTTCCCTAGAGAAGGGTTCTTTGAAGAAACACTGCAATTTTGGGTGTTCTCTTTCTTGTTTGCATATGGCCTTACTTATGTGGAAGATTAATACTGTGTTATAATATTTTCTCTTTCTGTTTACTGGGAAGATTCAGCTGTACAGATTTTCTTTTACTTTCAAATAGAAATATTTGGAATAATATCAGTCTTTCTTTTTTGTACATTATGTGGATATGGATATTCATGGCAGTTTTCAGCCTGTTCTTGTTTCTGTTAAAACCGTATCTTTAACATTTTAATTTGAATAACTTGGTCTTATCTGATGCGGAAGACTGGAAACTATTGTGTTCATGGGTAAATAAACTACAAAATATTTATGGCTTTCATTGTCCTTTTTGATAACTTGTCCTGGTAACAACTTAGTAATTGACATGTCTCTTTTCTCAGCCTCCTCAGTAGCTGGGATTATAGGTGTGTGCCACCACGCCTGGCTAATTTTTGTATTTTTAGTAGAGATGGGGTTTCACCATGTTGGCCAGGCTGGTCTTGAACTCCTGACCTCATGATTCACCTGCCTCAGCCTAAAGAGTGGAAGTGCTTGTGAGATTGTTTTGTGAAATTGGAATTATACCATTGGCATATTTTTTTTTTTTTTGAGACGGAGTCTCGCTCAGTCGCCCAGGCTGGAGTGCAGTGGCACGATCTCAGCTCACTGCAAGCTCCGCCTCCCAGGTTCATACCGTTCTCCTGCCTCAGCCTCCCGAGTAGCTGGGACTACAGGTGCCCGCAACCACGCCCGGCTAATTTTTTGTATTTTTAGGAGAGACGGGGTTTCACCGTGTTAACAAGGATGGACTCAAATCTCCTGACCTTGTGATCCGCCCGACCATTGGCATATTTATTTTATGCCAATGGTATAATTCCATTATGCCAATGGGATCTTTCCTTATGAATGGATGATGGTAAAATTGAAGCATGTCACTGAAAAAAAACAAAACAAAGATGATGGAAAATAACAAAGGTTGAAAATAACAGAGATACCAAAAGGCCCATATACTGTTTATGGGAGAGCAGCTTTGTACAGATACTTTAGAAAGTTGTTTGGCAGCACCAGTGCGAACCCTCTGATCTAGTTCTAGGAATATACCCAACGGAAATATATACATATATTCACTCAAAGACATGCATAAAGTATTTCTAACAACAGAATTTTAATAGCTGACACTGGGAGCTGCCCTAATGTCCATCAATAGTGGAAAAAAAAACCCAATTTTTTAAAATGTTCACACAATGGTATACTATTAAGAAAGAATTATGCCTACATGCAATAATATGAATGAATCTCACAAATATGTTGTTGGATGTAAGAAGCCAGACAGAGTACATGCTATATAATTCTTTTATGTATGAAGTGTAACAGCAGGTAAAACTAATCTATGGTGGTAGAAGTCAGAATAGTGCTTACTACCAAGGACAGTGACGGGTCTGAGATTTACGCTCCTTGCAAGCTTAACAAGTTAGCCTTACATGCTAGGTCAGAGACAAAGGACCTTACAACTCAATAGTCAGAGTGTCAGTGTTTGCACTGGTTCCCTGAGCTCTAATTCCCACAAGGCAACAGAAAGTCAAGTGACACCTGTACATACAGTGGATTGTGTTACAGGAGAGGAACTCCTGTAGGGAACATAGGGAATCTGAATCTTTTATAATGGGCAGTAAGCATGCCTGTCCTTTTCGCTTTGAAGGGAGACATCTCTATTATACCGAATAGTAAGTAAACCTGTTCTTTGCTCTCTAAGGGACATAATCTCTATTTTCAAGACTATAAGCACACCTGCCCTTTGCTCTGGAGACATGGTCTTCCAAGGCTGCCTTGGAAAGACATTCTGAACACACGCAGTCAGTGCCTTTGCTCACAAGATATGCAGAAACATGAGACACATGGGAGAATTGTCTCCCAATAAACTTTTAGGGTGGTAAGTACCTATTGATTGGAAGGAAGTAAGAGATGGTAGATTCTGAAGCGCTGGTGATGTTTTGTGTCTTGATCTGGGTGCTGGATAAGTAAGTATATTCAACTTGTGAAACTTCACTGAGTTGTACATTTAGAAAACATACTTCTCTGTATGTATATTGTACTTTAATATTCTTGCTTAAGAAAAACCCAAAGTAAGCAAATAAATTCAAAACAAAAAAAAACACATTATTTTTCTGGAAACTCTCTGCCAGAAAAAGGCCAATTTAAAAGTATGCTGCACATCTTTTTGGGTAAACCATGAATTGATATGTGAAAATTGTAATAGGATCATTTACTAGGCCCATTCAAATGGTTAAAATCCATTTTCTAAGAATAGAAACACTGAATTATCTAGGCATGGGCCATCAACTCTTAGTATTTACAGTGCTCCACTCATTTTGTCAACTGACCTTTATCACAGTTTTTCAGTTATAAACACCTCTTTAATAATGGCTCATGATGGTTCATTTTTTATCTTCCAGCCAAATAGATCATCAAATCCATATATTTTTTATGCTGTTCAACAGGGATGATGCTATTCTGAAGACTGGCGTCACCATGTACTTGCTTTTTAAGATGCTCTATATTTCAAAGTTTCATGTCTTTTCAGGCCTCCCTCTTTGAGGTATATTTCATTTGATAATTAAGAGATAAAAACAATTTCAAACAATACCTATGGCATATGCTATAGACAATTACAGTATTAGTACCAACAAAAACTTCTATAGAATTATAATGAAATCATTAGCTTTGGCTTATTTGAGCAAAATCTTTCCACTTCTGTATACAGCAATGTATTTGGGTGATAATAATTTACCATTTGAAAATGAAGTAGTTTTTCTTTTACATAAAGAGTAGAGTATAAAAACAATAATGTAAAAGATTAACTTACCGCCTTTGAAACATAAGGTAGATTTAATTAGGCTTTTTATATCAATTCATATCACATAATTTTAAGTGGCATCCATATAGATGACTTGCCCTGTTTTCCAGTGGCACAATTTTCTCTTTGCTATTGGTAGCTATCAACATATGAGATAGAAGATACTTTCAACGCCCCCCCCACCCCACCCACCTGCCCTGAGACGGAGTTCTGCTGGAGTGCAATGGCACAATCTCGGCTCACTGCAACCTCTACCTCCCCAGGTTCAAGTGATTCTCCTGCCTCAGCCTCCTGAGTAGCTGGGATTACAGGCGTGCGCCACCACGCCGAGCTAAAGTATTTTTAGTAGAAACAGGGTTTCACCATGCTGGCCACGCTGGTCTCGAACTCCTGACCTCGTGATCTGCCAGCCTTGGCCTCCCAAAGTGCTGGGATTATAGCGTGAGCCACCACGCCTGGCTGAGATAGAAGATACTTAAAGTAGAGGGGTCCAGAATTCAAATTTAATCCGGTTTACTAAGATAGATGAGGATGGAAAAGGTAGGTGATATCCTCACATTTAGCATTAAACTAAAATCTAGAGCATAAAATAGAAAGTGCACTGAGCTACATGTCAGGGGTTGGGGGCTCTGCCATAAACCAGATGTTAACTTAAGCAAACCACTTAAAGGATGAAAACTATGTGAGTTTTCTTTTTTTTTTTTTTTTTTTTTTTTTTGAGACAGGGTCTTGCTCTGTTGCCAAGGCTGGAGTGCAGTGGTACAATCACAGCTCACTGCAGCCTCACTGTTCCTGGGCTCAAGTGATCTGCCTCAGCCAGCCTAGTAGCTGGGACTACAGGCACATGCCACCATGCCCAGCTAATTTATTTATTTTTTCTGGTAGTGATAAGGTCTCACTGTGTTGCCCAAGCTCATCTTGCACTCCTGGGCTCAAGCAATCCTCCTGCCATGGCCTCAGAGTGCTGGGATTTTAGGCATGAGCCACTGTGCCCAGCCCATTTTTGTCTTTTTAGTAAGTTTTGAAACATAATCTCTTCTAAATATGAAGATTTACCTACCCCTTAAATATAAGTTTTCCACAAGGTTCTGTGACCTCCCTCTGGCTTTTCTTTAAACGCTTTCTGAGTGACTTTACCCATGCCATGGCCAGAGCATGTAAATGACGGAGAATGTAAACTAGAGCCATCACCTTTGAAATAAGGACTCTTTTTTTTTTTTTTTTGAGACGGAGTCTCACTCTGTCACCCAGGCTGGTGTGCAGTGGCGCGATCTTGGCTCACTGCAAGCTCCACCGAGGTAGGAAATAAGGACTTTTAAATTGGAATCGCCCTTATTCCAAATTAGAGTCTGACAAGTCAATTTGCACAATGCTTCCAGAATTGTTCCCTTTCCATATCTATTCTCACCTTAATACCTCTTGTCTACATTATTGGCAGTCCCAGGAGTCCCCTTCCTGAATATTATCTCTCTTTTCCCATCATTTACACTATTGACAAAGTAATCATGTCCCTTTTGCTCAAATATCCTTGTCAATGCACCACTGCCTGCAGAAGAAAATCCAAACACCCTACTACTGCATCCAAGATCAGCTACAACCAATCCCCTACCTAACATTCTTACCAGAGTCCACTCACATGGAACTCCTTACTATTCCTTAAGTAGCCCATGTACAGTCCCGATTCTGTGCCTTTGCTCATGATGTTCCTTAACCTTGGATTCATTTGCCCACCTCAACCATGGAAATCACACCATTCCTTCTAAACTGAAATGCCGTATCTTCTAAATCATCTTTCCAAAACCTCCTACCTCTTGTAGCATATACTCTGTAGAATTTATAATTCATAAAAATGTATTTTGAGCTTAGTTGTTTACAGATGTTCGTAGTTTATATTTGTCACTCAATTTTAAGTTCTTCAAGGGCCAAGATGATGTTTTAGTCATCTTCTTTTCTTCGGTGATGAGTAAGACATAGTCCCTGTTCTCAAGCAGCCTACAGTCTAGCATAGGAGACAGACAATCTACAGTGTGACAAATGCCAAACTTAAGTGTAAGCTTGGGGGCTATGACATAAGAGGGAAATTTTCCCTACCTGAAGTTTAGGGAAGGCTTCCTATAAGAAGTGGCTTCTAAGTTCCATTCTAGACACCATACTAGACCATAAGTTTCTTCAGAGTAGGGGGCTATCTTTTCATCTATGTATCCCTAGGGCATGGTATTATATCTAGCACAAAGTGGACCCTTTAAGTAAATCAAAGATGCCCTTCTGTTTTTAGTTCTAAATGTGTAGAGTAGGAATCGTATGTCTTTTGTGATACTTATCTATTCCACCTATCATATGGTCAATAAATAATAATTGGCTAATGAAAACCTAATCAAACAATAACATACTTTCAGCCTTGCGGTTCTAGATAAGTGTTAATGGACATGGTTGCCCAAATAATTCCTAAGAAAATCCAGAGCAGAACTTCAGTCAAATCCTTCTAAGTACATTAGTTCTAATTCTCAGAAAGGAGGCTGTGTGGATAAATGAGTTGCTTTGCAATTATAGTCCCACACTGAGTCAAACTGCAACATTTATTCTTTAAGTTAATAAAAGTTAAAAACAACAGGCTTTATTACAGCCATTAACAATAGGCTATGGTAATAGTTATCATCTGTTAAAGTCTTAGGGCATGGTAGCCACTGGCTAAGCACTTTGTGTGCATTTTCTTAATTCTCATATAACTGTACAAAGTATTTCTGTCCCCATTCTGCAGCTGAGGAATGTGAGACTCAGTTGAGAATATGTTACTTCTGTCCAGTCACCCAGCCAGGTGGTGGTAAATCCAGAATTCTAACCCAAGTCTATCTGACTCCAGAGTCTGATAACTACATATGGACAGAAATACTATCTTTTGTTTCACAGTAGAACATTATGAAAATAATAATTGGCTTAGATTTTTTCCATTTGCATATAAGTTTTCTTAGCATATGAAACATTTACTAATTTTGATGTTAAAGTTATGACACAGGTGAATCTAAAATCAGAAGTATAGCACTAATATGTAATTGTTTATGTTTTCCATTTAAATATAATAAATATTATGACAATTTCTTTTGAAATCTGAATACCACCTACAAATGAATATAAGATACAGTAGTGCCTATGATACTTTCACTGTTGGCTAAAATCACCTTGCTAAAGGCACTGTAAAAACTGAAGTATATTTTGAGGTGTTCAGCAGCTCCAATGAGCTTTCTGCTTTAATTCCAGATGTAACCAACAGCATTTGGAAGACAATGTACTTTGTCCAGGAAGAGCAAATAGCAAAGAGTCTTTTTGGGTGGGGAAGGGATTATGTCACTGTCTAGAACTCTCCTAAGATAAACTTGGCTTGTCAGCAATGGCAGGCTGGAGGAAGAATGCACAGCCAAGCAATACACGTGAAGTCCCAGAAGTGAGATGAGAAGAGAAGGATAAAATGGAAAAATCTCAAGGAGAGAGCACAAAGGAAGAGAAATAATGTTATAGAGAAATAGTGTTAGCCTAACATACCCCAAAAAACGCTGCTATAAGACCTAAGAGACAGTGTTCCAAATTGTCTTCTAATCTAATTTTAGGACTTTGGGGCAGGGAATAGTTACAACCTTCCTGTGCTTGGAATTTAATACTCATGATGGGAGGAAGGTAGACTAGAGGGTCTTAAGTGTCTTTCCTTTTAGAGCTTTTATCCTATCATGGTGCAGGTACATAGCCCTGGGGCTTTACTATGATTTAGAAATATGTTGAAATCAATGGTAGAAATAAGTGGATACCTTCTTAACTTGATAAAATATACCTTGATCCCAAAGTAACTATTATGCCTAGCAGGACAACACTAGAGGTATTCCCACTCAATTCAGGAACAAAGAAGGATGCTCATTTGTCACCACCATTACTTAACATCCTAGATATTAGATATTAGACAATACAATTACTAAGAGAAAGAAACTAGAGGTATAAAAATTTAGAGAACATAATAAAACTACTACAATTTCTGATGAATATAGAAAACCCTATGACATTCAATTGAAAAAGTAAACAAGAAAACTTAGGCAGCACGATAGAGAATTATTATATCAATAGATTTTAGATTACAAACACAGAAAGTTGGAAGATGAAATGGGGGAAGACTATCTACAATAGCAACAGAAAAAGATGAAATACTTAAGAAAAAGCTTTAGAAATGTGCCATATTTACTAATAAAATTTTAAGGCATTCCTGAAGACACAAAGACTTGTACAAAGGGGAAGACATACCAAGTTAGTTAGATAGGAAGACTCAACCTCATAAAGTTGTTCTCCCTAAGCTAATTTAGCAATTAATTATAACTACAGTAACAAGGCCAAAAATTGGAGAAGGGTAGGGGTCGGGGGAGAATGAGACAAACAAATTCTAAAGTATACATTAAAAAATAACACACAGATCAGTAGAACAGAATAGAGAACCCAGAAATTAATCCATTTATCTACAGGCAACCCATTTTTGACAAAGATGCCAAGAACGTTAATTGGGGGAAAGAACAATCTTTTCAATAAATGGTGCTGGGAAAACTAAATAGCCACATGCAGAAGAATGAAACTAGACCTCCATCTCTCACTCTACATAAAAATCAACTTCAAGTGGATTAAAGACCTAAATGTAATACCTAAAACTATAAAACTCCTAGAGAAAAACATAGGAGAAAAGTTCCAGGACATTGGTCTGGGGCAAGATTTTATGAATAAGACCTCAAAAGCACAGGCAACAAAAGCAAAAATGAACAGATTATATCCAACTGAAAAGCTTCCGCACATCAAAAGAAACAACAGAGTGAAAAGGCAACCTGTAGAATGGAGAAAATATGTGCAAACTATTCATCCACTAGGGGATTAATATCCAGAATATACAAGGAAATCAAACATCGCAACAGCAAAAAAAAAAAAATCTGATTAAAAAATGGGCAAATGATCTGAATAGACATTTCTCAAAAGAGACATACATTTATCCAAAAAAATACATGGAAAAAAAAGCTCAACATCACTAGTCATGAAGGAAATGCCAATCAAAACCACAGTGAGATATCATCTTACCCCAGTTAGGATAGCTATTATCAAAAAGACAAAAAACAACGATGCAGAGAAAAGGAAACACTTACACACTGTTGGTGGGAATGTAAACCAACAAAACCACTATGGAGAACAATATTCCTCAAAAAACTGCAAATGGAACTGCCATATGAACCAACAATCCCACTACTCAGCATTTATCCAAAGGAAAGGAAATCAGTACATTGAAGAGGTATCTGCACCCCCATGTTTATTGCTGCACCATTCAAAGTAGCTAAGATAAGGAATCAACTTAAATGTCCAACAATAGATAAATGAATCAAGGAAATGTGGTATATATACCCAATGGAACACAATTCAGCCATAAAAAAGAATGAAATCCTGTGATTCCTGCAACATGGATGGGACTGAAGAACATTATGTTAAGTGAAAATAGCCAGGAACAGAAAGTTAAACACCTCATATTCTCATTCATATGCACGAGCTAAAAAAAAAGCCAATCTCTTAGAAGTAAAAAGTAGAAAAGAAGTTACTAGAGGATAGGGAGATGGGGGAAGGGGAAGATGGTGAGATACGTTAAAGGACACAAAATTACAGCTGTACAGGAAGAATAAGTTCTGTTTTATAGCACTATAGGGTGACTATAGTTAACAATATTACATATTTTCAAATAGCTAGAAGAGAGGGTATTGAATTTTTCCAATACAAAGAAATTATAAATGTTTGAGATTATGGATATGCTGATTATCCTGATCTGATCACTAAGCATTGTATATATTGAAACATCACTATGTACTCCATTAATATGTACAATTATTATGTGTCAATTCAAAAATGAAAATTATACAGAAAAAAATAAAACAAGGATTTCAAAGAAATCTCTAAAAGAGAATAAAATGAGGGGGACAATTCCTAGCATTTATTATAAAATAATATAAAGCTACAATAGTTGAAGGTGTATTCCTGACACAGGAATAGACAAATCAAGAAAACAGAACAGGAAATTCAGAAATAGATCTCAATGCATACAGAATTTGGTGTATGATACACAGGGTATCTAAGCCAGGCACAGTGGCTCATGCCACTGTAATCCCAGCACTTTGGGAGTGCTGTAATCCCAGCACTTTGGGAGGCTGAGGCAGGCAGATCACTTGAGGTCAGGAGTTCGAGACAAGCCTGGCCAACATGGTGAAACTCCATCTCTACTAAAAATATAAAAATTAGCCGGGTGTGGTGGTGCACACCTGTAAGCCCAGCTACTGGGGAGGCTAAGGCGCAAGAATTGCTTGAACCCAGGAGGCGGAGGTTGCAGTGAACTGAGATTGCACCACTGCACTCCAGCCTGGGTGACAGAGTGAGGCCCCATCTCTAAATAAATAAATAAATACATAAATACATAAGTTAAATCAGTGAGGAAAAGACGAACAACTCCAATTGTCTTGAGAAAACTGGAGAGGTGTTTTTAATAAAATTAAGTTGAATTCATGCCTCATACTATATACCAGGTAAATTCTAAAGGAGTAAAGATTTAAATTTTAAAAATGAAATAATTAAAATACTAGAAGAAAACAAAGGAAACTATCTCTACTAACTCAGAGTGGGGAAGGCTTTCTGTTAAAATCTGGAGACATAAAAGACTTTCAGGTCAGCTGTGGATTAAAAAAAAAAAACAGCAACAACTATAGTCACACACACAGCATAACAGTGTTTCCATCAGTGATGGACTATGGGCCTGCCAGTAATTCCAGCACTTTGGAAGGCCAAGGCAGGCAGATCACTTGAGGCCAGGAGTTCGAGACAAGCCTGGCCAACATGGTAAAACCCCATCTCTACTAAAAAAAAGATACAAAAATTAACCAGCCGTGGTGGCATGCATCTGTAATCCCAGGTACTTGGGAAGCTAAGGCAGGAGAATCGCTTGAACCAGGGAGGCAGAGGTTGCAGTGAGCTGAGATTGTGGGGATTACTCAGGAGGCTGAGGCAGGAGAATCACTTGAACCTGGGAGGCAGAGGCCGCAATGAGCTGAGATTGCGCCACTACACTCCAGCCTGGGCGACAGAGCGAGACTCCATCTCAAAAAATAAATGAATGAATGAACAAATAAATAAATAAATAAGATGGACTATGTATGACAATGGTCCCATAGGATTATAATACCATATTTTCACTGTGCCTTTTCTATGTTTAGGTACACAAATACTTACCATTGTGTTGCCATTGCTTACAGTATTAAGTACAATAACGTGCCATATAGGTCTGTAAAATAGGAGCAATAGGCTATACCACACATCCTAGGTGTGTAGTAGGCTCTACCATCTAGGTTTGTGTAAGTCTACCCTACAATATTTGCACAACAAAGAAATTGCCTAATGATGCATTTCTCAGAATGTATCCCCAGTGTTAAACGCGTTATTGTACTGGAAAAAAATTTTCAATCTACATGACAAAAAAAATTTTTCAAACGAAAAATGTCAAACTTGGGAAAAAATATTGTCATCTCATATCACAGACAAAGGGCTAATCTCCCTGATATAGAGAGCACTTTAAATCACTTTAATCCACAAATTCATATTAAGCAAATTCTTATAATGGTAAGAAAAAAGATGTAACCAAAGGGTTGCAAATTAATGATTCAGGAGTTTGCTAAAGGGTGCTAACTTCAGATAATACATACGGTCATGCATCATTTAATGACTGGGATACATTCTGAGAAATGCATCGTTAGGTGATTACACTGTTGTGTGAACATCATAGACTGTGCTTACATGAATCTAGATGGTATAGCTTACTACCCACCTAGGATATGTGGTATAACCTATTTGCTCCTAGGCTACAAACCTAGGCTGTCGCCTAGACTGGAGTGCAATGGCGCACATGGAGTGCAATGGAGTGTATAGTATGCCATGTTACTGAATAGTGTAGGCAACTGTAACACAATGACATTTGTGTATCTAAACATAAAAAAGGTATAGTAAAAATATTAATTTTAATCTTGTGGGACCACTGTTATATATGCAGTTCATCGTTGATCAAAATGTTGAATTATGTGGCATATGACTGTATATATTTTACCTAAAACATCAAGTCATTATGTGGCATATGACTGTATATATTTTACCTAAAGCATCAAATATATGTTCATTCTGCTAAATATAATCCAATTTTCCATTTTAATGGAGAAAACCAATAACCACAATGACAAGGTGAAATGGGCAAGACAAGCCTTCAGTTGACGTCACAGGACATCAATGATGAGCAAAGTCATCTCAGGATTACTTAATTCTCAAAGGGTATTCTATCTACCAAGCCTGGTGGTTTGCATCTTGTTTGACGTTGTATAGATGACAAAACTGCAACTGCTGCAGACTGCAGTCACTGTGCTGGAATGTCAATTCTGTAATGCTGTGCATGGTTTGAACAGATTAATTCAAATGTTTTGAACATAGCAAACCTGCCATTACTTTCACCAAGCATGCAATATAGTCATAGCGTCTGCACTTTTACTACGCGTATTATAAATACATGGCTAATTTCTCCCATATGCTATTATTTCAGCTGAATTTTTTTCTTTTTTGATACAGTGTCTTGCTGTGTCACCTAGGCTGGAGTGCAATGGCGTGATCTTGGCTCACTGCAACCTCTGCCTCCTGGGTTCAAGTAATTCTCCCTGCCTTAGCCTCTGGAGTAGATGGGATTATAGGTGCCTGCCACCACGCCCAGCTAATTTTTGTATTTTTAGTAGAGGCAGGGTTTCACCACGTTGGCCAGGCTGGTCCTGAACTCCTGACCTCAGGTGATCCACCTGCCTTGGCCTCCCAAAGTGCTGGGATTACAGGCGTGAGCCACTGCGCCTGGCCTCAGCTGAAATATTTTCATACTCTTAATGGCAACACATTTGATAAATAAATCTGATACAAGTGAAACATGGTTTATCCCTTGCAAAACTTTATTACATCATTCAAGAGAAAGACGTGACTATCTTCACTTCTCCTGGCATAGACGAATCTCTACCTCATGGAGGAGAAAAAAAAAACTGCAAAACTTTCTGCAATTCCCATTTGACTTCAGATAGAAACAACACAACAATATCAGAGGTCTTAATTAAAGAGGTTTGAGGGAAAGCCCAGGGTATCATGCCTTGAATTTTTTCAAGCTAAGCCTATACCTCCTGAGCACCTGAGTGCATACTTCAACACATTTGTTAGTAGAAGGCTTCATTTTTCGGTTCAATATCATACTTAAACCAGCTGGAATTTTTAGAGCAGTCCAAGAACACCCTGTGTTATAACATTGCTATTTCCATGGAAATTTGGATAAGGGTCAGCTGGCATATATTATAAATAGTTTCCCATGATATCCCTAAATTAGAGATTAATTCAACTTGTAACAACTGAATTGACTTAATTAAAAAATGTTTTTCCTGCCTTGTCATTCACAGGCATTTGGGGAGGGAGTGGGGGTGCTCTACTCTGAGACTCCTTGCTCCAAGGCTGAAAAGATGATACTCTTTGGGCCATGTCAATGGCACTTGCTCTCCAGCCAGCCAAAGGAAGAAAAAGGAATACAAATAAAGGCTGCCAGATTATAAGCAAAGACTTTACCAAGAAAAATAAAGTGGTAGAAAACCTCATTACCTCAATGAGAACAGACATTCATCTCCTCGGCCTAAATGTCTTCTTTCTAAAATTACTAAAGTAAAGTACAAGATCTGGATTATGTGTCAAAGGTGAAAGGGACCTTATTTTGCAGCCTAAGCCACTGAAGCAAGGAAAACATAGTCTGGGTCAGAATGTTAGGTAACAGATGCCCTAGATATAGGCCCCAAGTTTCCTGACTCTTAGTTCTCTATGTTCCCCACCCCGTTTGCCAGAGAGCCACTCATCTCACCAGGGAGTTGCTCATCTAAATTGCATCCTTTGTAATACGAGCCTGAGTCTTAGGAATTCAACTTGTCACAAGTATGATGAGGCAGGGAGTGCCGCAAAGACAAAGTTTTGAGGACCAATAAAAATGGGAAAACTAAAAGTTGGAGAATGAGAAATTATTGATATCTTTAGGGGTGGTACAGGAGCTCCGGTTAGAGACAGCCCTTCCCAGTTATTAGAAAAAGAAACACCTCTAAAGTAGAGAAGAATGAGTTCTCCAGGCTACAAAGGTCTGATGTGCTATTTTTTTAGAAAAAGTGAATTTTCTTTTTTGTTTGTCTGCTCACCAAGAAGGCTTCACCACATATGCAGAATGATTCCTGCATGAGGTCTGTTTTCTACTCTAAAGTAATAAGCTGATATAACTAGTTTATTCATTATTCCCTTCTTAGGGGATTGTGACTTCATTCCTCACCTAAACCTAGTTTCCAAAAAGTGCAACACTAAGATCATGGTGACACCCACCCCCATCTAAGCTACAGACTCTATGGGCATTCTCAGTGCTACTCACCTTCATTACGTTAATTCCAGATCTTTCTCAAACATCTACTTGGTCACATAAGATGGTTACAGAGCTCTAACTTCGTTCTGAGAAGAAATTCCCACCCCTAATGACTAACTCTAATCCCCTGGACCATGGAGTCACAATTCCTTCTGGGTAATGCTCTAAACTGGTGAGAATATGTAAAATTTTTGTTATAAATACTTTAAATTTAGGGATTACTTCTAAAGTACTTCTCAGAAGAATTTTAAAAATAAAGAAGTGAATAGATTCATATGTAAACACATGACATTTGGAAATATTTACCAGTTTCTTCTTCCCTATTCTACCATGAAAACAGCATATTTAGCTTCTTGGTGAGCCACAACTGAGCCCTCTATTTAGAGTTTGTCCCCCTTACCACCTTCTTAGGTCACCATGGGTGGTAAAGTAAGAATCATATTAAATTTTAGTTCAGCTGTGATGATGCTGTGCCCTTTATAACCTTGGTGGTTTAGACAACCCCCTGGAGTTTCTTAGTCATTATAAGCTCAGTGTTTCTAACAAGGACATATGGCACAGCCTCAAATACTCCTCTGGCTCACATCAGATGCTAACAATGCTATTTCAAGAGTGGGAAATGGGAGGAGAAGTGGGATGGGGCATGCTTTTCTCCTTAACCTTTCTAGGAAGCAGTTCTTGAGATTATTAGCTTCATTCTAGACTACAAAATACATGGGCAGTAGCGGGAGGCTCTAGGTTGATGACTTCATCAGTTCCATTTCTGTTTTTAAGCTGGCTAAGTTTGTTTGAAGCTAGCTAAAAGAACAAGACAGAGGCCATTCTTGGTCTCTTTATAAGCAGTGAAATATCACAGTATGGCCTCTTTCCTTTCAGGCAGGATCCCTTTGAGACATTCCTGGAAAAGCAGAACAGTCCATGACCATCAGGAAGGCATGCTGACTTCAGGCAATCTGGCAAAATACTGTGGGTGCCAGTGAGGTAAAAACATTATTAGCAGAGTCAAGACTTTCTCTCATCAAGTAGCTCTGACCTACACTGTGGATTCCTTTTGAGCAGCTATGACGAATACACATTGTGTGGGTCTAGGTATTATAAGTGGATTTATGATTTATTTAGGGAAATAAATTTACAAAAGACATTTAGAAGACCAGAGTTGGGATTTTTGCCCATAAAAAATGATGGGTCTATATGAGTCCTTAAATATCTACACAATAAAGAGATATCTCTGCCAACCACAAAAAAATAGGCTAGGCAGTACCCAGCTGCCTGGCCTATTTTTTTGTGGTTGGTAGGGATATCAGTTTTAGCCTTTGTACTTATAAGCACTCATAATATTTTGCTTAAATAATAAATTTTCATGTGCAATCACAATAATTTTATACTATAAAAAATTGAAAAAGTCTTGAATATACATATTAAGTCACTGGAAAATAATGCATCTTATTTGGTAGGCTTAATTTTTTAAATTAAAATTAAATGTTCTTAAAAATTTGTGGACCATATGCCTAAACTAAATGAGATAGTTAATTTAAACTAATGAAAGCTATATCTTCAAACATATTAATATTTCATTTTGCTATTTTAGGTAACATTGATGAACAGAAATATGATCAATGATACTATCTTTACATTCGAAAGATTAAAATATAGACCATACAAATTAAAAGACTTACTTAGTTTGTTATTCTGCCTTCTCCACTTTCTTTACTTCCTGTAGAGAACTCTTCCTATATCTTCTATCTATTAATCATTCATTCATTCTCCTACAAATATTTATTGAACATTTACTCTAATCCAGGCACTATTCCAGGGGATGGGATACAACTGTGAGGAGGGGGTGGGAAAAAGCTCTCTCCTCTTACAGAACTTCAGAATTTCTATTCAAATGGAGAGAGACAAAGAATAAGCAAATAAATATTGGATATATAATGTGTCATATTGTAGTAAGTGCTATGAAGAAGCATAAAACCAGGTAAAGAGTTAGAGAACAATATGGGAGAGGAGAGGTCTGGATGATAATTTTGAATAAATGTCAGAGAAAGCCTCTCTGATAAGGCCACATTTGAGCAGAGACCTGAATCATGTAAGGGAATGAGTCTTAGACATATCTTGAAAACAGTGTTCCAGGCTAAGGAAGCAATATTTTTAAAAATCTAGGAGTAAGAAGCATGCTTGGCATGTTAGAAAAACAGCAAGATAGAGACAAGCGAGTAACGAGAGTACGGCAGGGGATGGGGTCAGATAGGTTGCCGGGGCCCATTCATGCATGTCCAGAAAGTTAGATAGATAGAAGGTATCCAGAAGAGAGGGAAGAGAGAATGGGAAAGAGGCATATTCAAGAAGATAATGACTGAGACTTTGCAAAAATTGGCCAAAAGCACAGATTCAAGTAGATCTCCAAACTTAAACCAAGATAAGGAAAAAGAAAAGCACAACATAGTAAAAAATGCTAAAAATAAAAGTTATAGAAGACATATTAAAAGAAACCTGAGAGAAAAGACAGATTAACATCAAAGGTGCAAGTATCAGACTGACAGCTGACTTCTTGAAAGAATCAAGAGAAGCCAGAATAAAATGGAATTATCTTCAAAGTGCCGAAGGAATATAGCTATAAACCTAAAATTCTCTACCAGTAAAATTACTCCTCAATAATGAAGTAGAGAAAAAAAACATTTTTCACTTCATGTAGAGAATTTGTATCGATAGTCTAACCTAAAGACAACACTGAAGGGTGTATTCCGCTCCCAGATGGAAGCTCAAAGATGCAGGAAGGCATAAAGAACAATGAAAAGGGCAAACGTGGATAAACCTAAATTTTTAACCAAATATAGCAATAGTTATAATAATACATTAGGAGATTTTAAGTATATATAAAATGAAAACATGTGCCAATAGCATATAAGCTATATTTATATCAGACAAAGAAGGCCTTCAGGTATCCATGTGGGATTGATTCCAAGACCTCCTATGGATACCAAAATCCATGGATAGTCAAGTCCCTGACATAAGACAGAATAGTATTTGCATATAATGTATTCCCATGTGTTTTAAATCATCTCTAGATTACTTATAATACCTAATACAATATACATGCTATATAAATAGTTGTCATACTGTATTGTTTAGGGAATAATGACAAGACAAAAAGTCTGTATGTGTTCAGTACAGATGCAATTTTTTCCCAAATATTTTTGATCCCCAATTGAATCCACAGATATGGAACCTATGGATATGGAGGGACAACTGCATTTCAAAATGATAAAACTTTAACTTCTCTATTAAGAGATAATACTTCTACATTTTAATTCACCTAGTAACATAGCTCAAAATTATATATTAAACAACATTGACAAAACAGAGAAATTTAAAAATCATAGTGAGAAATCTGAACATACCTCTCTCAGGTATATCAGATAATTTATAACGATATGTAAAATTTGAACAATACTTTTTACGTATTTGACCTAATAGTCACAAATACAATACTCTACCTTGAAACATCAGAATATACACATTGGCTTCAAATATGCATAGATCATTATCAAAATCATATGTGAAAGCAAATTGCCACAAATTCCAAAGAATTGAATTTATACAAAACAAATTATTTTACCATAAAGAAATTAGACTAGAAATCAATAACAAAAATTTACCTAGAAAATTCACAATGCTTATAAATTAAGAAATATACTTTCTAATAACCCATAGGCCAAAGAAAAAAGTCACAGTGGAAATTAGAGCCCATTTTGAAGTAAATGTTCTTTAAAATTTATGAGGTGCACCATTAAAACTATTCTACGAGTAAAGTTTATGGCCCCCAAATTCATATATTAGAGAAGAAGAAAAGCTGAAAAGCAATAAGCTAAACATCCTTGATAAAAAGTTATGAAAAGAACAACTTAAATCTAAATAAAATAGGCTGGGCACAGTGGCTCACACCTATTTAGTAATCCCAGCACTTTGGGAGGCCAAGGAAGGAGGATCACTTGAGCCCAGGAGTTGGAGACCAGCCTGGGCAACATGGTGAGACCCTGTCTCAAAAAACAAAAAACAAACAAAAAAAATTCCAGAAATCTAAAGAAAATATAAGGAAGGAAATAAAAAGATAACAGCAACAAGTAAAACAGAAAACAAAAATACAATAGAGAAGATCAATAAGGGTAAAAGTTGGTTCTTTCAAATGATGAATAAATTTATAAACCCCCATGGAGAATAATGAAGAAATACAGAAAGCAAGCTTAAATAACCAATATCAGAAATAAAAGAGGAAACGTCACTACAGAGCTTATAGAGTTTTATTGTTGTTGTTGGTTGGTTGGTTTTGAGACAGGGTCTCACTCTCATTGCTCATGCTGCATGCATATTACGTGCATACAGTCAATTAAAAAGTCAAGAAAACATACCTTTTATAAAAACTAACAGCACAAGAAGAAAACTGTGAACAACCCCTTATTTATTTTAAAATTGAATTAATAACTTAAAGCTTTCCAAAAAAAACCCTATAGGTTGGCCAGGCGCGGTGGCTCACGCCTGTAATCCCAGTACTTTGGGAGGCCAAGGCAGGCAGATCACGAGGTTAGGAGATCGAGACCATCCTGGCTAACATGGTGAAACCCTGCCTCTACTAAAAATACAAAAAAATTTAGCCAGGCATGGTGGTGGGCGCCTATAGTCCCAGCTACTCTGGAGGCTGAGGCAGGAGAATGGTGTGAACCCGGGAGGCGGAGCTTGCAGTGAGCCGAGATTGCGCCACTGGACTCCAGCCTGGGTGACAGAGCGAGACTCCATCTCAAAACAAAACAAAACAGAACAAAAAAAACTTGTGAGTCTAGGAGGTTTCACTGGTTGATTCAAACCAAAACTTAATTAAAAAAAAAAACCTGTCTTATATAAATTCTTCCAGAGAATAAAACAGAGAATAGGAAACATTCTCCCCATCCTCAGCTCATCTTACAAGGCTAGCATAACCTTGATACTAAAGTATGAGAAGGGCATTACTAGAAAGAAAACTTACACCCCAATCTCATTTATAAACATAGAAGCAAAATGTTGGTTAAACAAATACAGAAATAATAGGGGTCTTCAAAAAGTTTATGGAAAATGTGTATTTTGAAAAACCTATGCATAGATTTCAGGGGTTTTTTGCATCAGAATAAACTTATGCTAACTTGTCATAAAATGTCTGAACAGGATCTAGTTTGAGGCACTAAGAAGGATAAGACATCAGTTTGAAAAGAGCCCCATCAGAGGAACATGAATTCTGCTAAAATTGAAACAAGAACATTAAATTTATGGTGAAGCTTGGGTGGAAGAATGGCTAAACCCTGATGCTTTACAAAAACTTTGTGGGGTCAATCCCCCAAAGAAATCAGTAGTGTACAAATGGATAACTCATTTTAAGAAGGGATGAGACAATGTTGAAGATGAAGCCCACAGTGGGCAGACCATCTGCATCAATTTTTAAGGAAAAAATTAATCTTGTTCATGCCTTAATTGAAGAGGGCCAATGATTAACCGAAAAAATAACAGCCAACACCACAGACATCTCAATTGGTTCAGCTTACACAATTCTGACTGAAAAATTAAAGTTGAGCAAATTTTCCACTTGGTAGGTGCCAAAACCATTGCACTTCGTATCAGCTGCAGACAAAAGCAGAGCATTCAATGGATGTTGCAAACAAGTGGGATCAAGATCCCAAAGCATTTCTTCAAAGAATTGTAAAGAGATGAATCATGGCTTTACCAGTATGATCATGAAGACAAAGCACAATCAAAGCAATGGCTACCAAGATGTAGAGGTGGCCCATCAAAGCAAAAGTGGATTAGTGATGAGCAAAGGTCATGGCAACAGTTTTTGAGAATGCTCAAAGCATTTTGCTTGTTGACTTTCTGGAGAGCCAAAGAATGATAAAATCCGTTTACAATGAGAGTGTTTTGAGAAAGCCAAAAGCTTAGCACAAAAATGCCCAGGAAAGCTTCAACAGGGGGTCCTTCTCCACCATGACAATACTCCTCTTATTCCTATCATCAAACAAGGACAATTTTGCCAGAGTTTCAACGGGAAAATCATTAGGCAACCACCTACAGACCTGATTTGGCTCCTTCTGACTTCTTTTTGTTCCCTAATCTTAATAAATCATTAAAGGGCACCCACTTTTCTTCAGTTACTAATGTGAAAAAGACTGCACTGACATGGTTAAATCCCAGGACCCTCAGTTCTTTAGGGATGGACTAAATGGCTGACATTGTCACTTATAAAAGTGTCTTAAACTTGACAGAGCTTATGTTGAAAAATAAAGTTTATATTTTTTCTTTTTATCTTTTAATTCCATTTTCCCGTGACCTTTTTGAAGTTCCCTTAATGTAAGAGAGAGAGCTAATACATAATGATCAAACTGGTTTATTTCAGAAATGGAAAGTTAATTTAACCTTCAAAACTTCAATTAGTAATGCAACTAATCTGTAGTGACAGAAAGTAGATCAGGTGTGGAGCAGGGGTAGGAGGGAAGGGGCTGGAGACAGGGATTACAGGAGGGATAAGAAAATGTTTGGGGCCAGGCATGTTGGCTCACACCTGTAATCCCAGCACTTTGGGAGGCCAAGGTGGGCAGATCACTTTGAGCTCAGGAGTTCAAGACCAACCTGAGGAAATGGTGAAACCCCATTTCTACAAAAAATGCAAAAATTAGCCAGGTTAGCCAGGTGTGGTGGCTCATGCCTGTAGTCCCAGCTACATAGGAGGCTAAAGCTGGAGAATCACATGAGCCCAGGGAAGTAGAGGTTGCAGTGAGCCACTGCACTCCAGCTTGGGCCACAGTGTGAGACCCTGTCTCAAAAAAAAAAAAAAAAAAAGTTTGGAAGGGAATGATACATATGTTCATTATTTTGATTATGGTGATAGTTTCACAGGTATACACATATGTCAAAAGCTATCAAACTATATACTTTAAATATGTGCAGTTTATTATATGCCATTATAGCTAAAGTTGTTTTTAAAAATGAGTGTAACTTATCACATTAATAGAATAAAGAAAAAAATCCACATGATCATCTCAACAGATTTAGAAAAAACATTTGATGAAAGTCAACTTCCATTCATGATTAAAAAAAAAAACTTAATTGTGAAGATGACTTCCTTAAACTGATAAAAAAATTTTAAAAGAAACCCTCTAGCAACATGTCATAATTAAAAGTGAAATGTTGTAACCATTCTGATAGGGCTTGGCTGTGTGTCCCCACCCAAATCTCATCTCGAATTGTAATCCCTATATGTCAAGGGAGGGGCCTGGTGGGAGGTGACTGCATCTTGGGGGCGGATTTCCCCCTTGCTGTTCCTGTGATAGTAAATGAGTTCTCATGAGATCTGATGGTTTAAAAGTGTGGCACTTCCCCCTTTGCTCTCCCTCTCTTGCCGCCATGTAAGACATGCCTTGCTTTCCCTTTGCCTTCTGCCATGATTGTACGTTTCCTGAGGCCTCCCCAGCCATGCAGAACTGTGAGTCAATTAAACCTCTTTAATTTATAAATTACCCAGTCTCAAGCAGCTCTTTATAACAGTGTGAAAATGGACTAATACCCATTTCCTTTGACACTGGGGGCAAGACGGCCTTCCTGTACCCATTTCACCTCCTGCTCCATGATGCCCATGCGATTTGGGTGACATGGACCACAACCTCGGGTGTAGGTCTAAACTAAGCAATGTAACACCATTCCTCTTGTCCGTTGATTGACTCAGGGAAGAGCAGGGATAAGCCAGTCAATGACCCCAAGCCCCTGGTCTAAGTGATGGTGTCAGAGGTAGCACAAGACCTACACTGGTCCTGTCGAAGGAAGCCAAGAGCTTCTTTCTGGGAAAACAGCAACTCTCCATTCCTCTGGAGAGTGTAGTACAAAGATGTCATGTCAGGAACTGCTGCAGCCATTTCTGATACAACAAGCAGAGCCATGGAGGAAGACAGAGTGAAAAGAATCACAGAGATAGAACCCGGTGAAGAATTATCCAGTTGTGTATATGAAAAAAATTCCCTTTATTTTTTGACAGATCAAGTCTGGTTCTCTGTTATTTGCATCCCACAGCCTCCTAACTAATATGGTTTGATGACATAAAGTGCCATAATTTGTGCAAAGCAATGGCTAGAATAAGGCAGACAAAAGTCAAAAGAATACATAGTCTAAAAGAAAATGTACATAGGTCAAAGTCATGGTAGAAAGTCAGAAACCAAAATTTCCTGAAAGGATTGCTGTTATTAAATGAAATAACATATGTAGATCACTTAGTACAGCGCCCGATATGCTCCAAGCTAAATCACTAACTGCAGATAGCAACAGCTAATGGAGCCTCAGGCTGTGGTGGCGTGCCCGAGAGGCAGGAAATGGACTCTTACATCAAAAGCATTTTCTTATTTAGAATTATGTCGCTCTCTTGAGTGGAATCATCTTAAAGTCTAGATGCCAATGAGTGATAGCTGTTAACTTTTGTTGAAAACCTATATTTGCAACTTCATATATATTTGTTTTTTCATAAGGATGATACAAATTCGATATCATTCCCAACTGATACATGAGGAAACAAACTCAGAGAGGTGAAACAACCTAGCAGAGGTCTCTGCTCCTTAAATGGTGATGCCTGCTTTTACCAGGTCCCAACCTGAGCCCGTGCTCATTCTTCATCTCAGGCTGCCTGTCTGATGTGAGATGAGACTCAGAAATGCACATGAATTATATGAATTTAGATAATTTATGTTAACAGAAAGATACTGCATTTCTTGGATGCATGCTATATCTTAGTATTTTTCTTTTGTATATGTATCTCAGACACATTTCATAATATTGACGAAAAGAGTCAAACTCTGTAAAATATTTTAAGAGATTTATTCTGAGCCAAATATGAGTGACCACAGCCTGTGACACAGCTCTCAGGAGGTCCTGAGAACGTGTGCCCAAGGTGGTCAGGGTACAGCTTGTTGTCATGTATTTTAGGAAGGCATGAGACATTAATCAAATACATTTAAGAAACACATTGGTTTGGCCGGGCGCGGTGGCTCCACATTTGTAATCCCAGCACTTTGGGAGGCCGAGGCAGGCAGATCACCTGAGGTCAGGAGTTTAAGACCAGCCTGGTCAACATGGTGAAACCCCGTCTCTACTAAAAATACAAAAATTAGCTGGGCGTGGTGGCAGGCGCCTGTAATCCCAGCTACTCGGGAGGCTGAGGCAAGAGAATCGCTTGAATCCGGGAGGCAGAGGTTGCAGTGAGCCGAGATTGTGCCATTGCACTCCAGCCTGGGGGACAAGAGCAAGACTTTGACTCAAAAAAAAAAAAAAAAAAGAAAAGAAAGAAATACATTGGTTTGATTTAGAAAGGTGGGACAACTCAAAGCGGGGCTTCCAGGCTTTAAATAAATTCCAACATCTTCTGGTTGACAATTGGTGGAGTTTGTCTAAAGACTTGGATCGACAGAAAGGAATGTTCAGGTTAAAGATAAAGGATTGAGGCAGGCACAGTGGCTCATGCCTGTAATCCCAGCACTTTGGGAGGCCGAGGTGGGCAAATCACCTGAGGTTGGAAGTTCAAGACCAGCCTGACCAACATGGAGAAACCCCGTCTCTACTAAAAATACAAAATTAGCCGGGTGTGGCCAGGCGCATAGCCGGGTGTGGTGGCGCCCAGCTACTCGGGCGGCTGAGGCAGGAGAATTGCTTGAACCCAAGAGGCGGAGGCTGTGGTGAGTCGAGATCACGCCATTGGACTCCAGCTTGGGCAACAAGAGCAAAACTCCGTCTCAAAAAAACAAAAAACGAAACAAAAAAAAGGTAAAGGATTGTGGAGACCAACTTTTATTGTGCAGAGGAAGCTCTCAGATAGCAGACTTCAGAGAGAGCGGGGGTTGTAAATTGTTTCTTTTGGGACTTAAAAGGGTGCCTACCTCTTAGTTGATTAACTCCTGTATCTGGAAAGAAAGGAAGGAAAACAAAAGGGGAAGGGGATTCTCTATAGAATGTGGATTTTTCCCACAAGAAACTTTGCAGGGCAATTTCAAGGTATAACAAGGAAATATATTTTGGGGTTAAATATTTTTTCCTTGTCTCATAATGTTATGCCAGAGTCAGACTGAAAAGTAAGTCACAATATATAGGGTCAAATAAAACCCATCTCATGAGAATTTATGGTTTGTAGGACATGACTCCCTAGACCCCTAAGGTAGGAATTTGGATAAGATAAAAAATCAGAGCTTAGACCTCAATAATAACAAAGCTATTTAGTGGACAGAACATGACAAATGCCAGACTAATATTTTTGATGGAAACAACACTATATGATGTTAGTCATCTAGAAAACAGCTTCTTAGTACAAATGAAACTAAATTAGGTTCTTAAAAAACTGTTTGGGGGACTCTTAACAGTATTTACAACTAGTTCTAAGAAACTATGAGCTTTAAACAGAACAGAAAAACTAGTCTTTGGTGCTGTTATAAAATATGGAGGCAATGGATAAACACTACATGAAAGAAAACAAAATAAAATGTTTTTGTTTTTCTCTTTCACAGAAAAAAGAGGATGGAATTAGCAAATGAAAACTATTCAAACTACTCTCCTAAAAGTACTATCTTGAATGTTTACTCTGTCTGTTAAGGATATCAAACAAGGCTCTCCAAATAATATACATTCTGCAAAAGTTAGTATAAGACAGAATAAGAAAGTGATATAATTAAATAATAATTTCATATCAAATTATTCCTCCCAGTAATCTCCCAAATGGCTTCGTGAACTCTGCAATCAGTATATTACATAACATACTACATTTCTTAAAAAATAATAAAAGAATAACAACATAGATTGGGCCATAAAATATGTGAAAGGGTGCTGTTAAATTTTGTAATTATGTTATGAAACTTCATCTCCCTGTTCCACAGTCTTTGGGTATCTAATGTCACTGCTACATGATGCCATGTCCCACAGAAGCGGGAGCTGCCACAATGGAGAAATAATGTTAGTAAAGTTAGGAAAATAAGTCTCTTGCCTGGAACTCTAACCCAGTTGGGCCATTTTGTAATGGCCTACCTGGCTCGGTGCCCTTGCTTCTGTTTGCCTCTGAGCTGAATCTATTACATTAACCCTGACTTATAACTATGCATCTCACTCTGGGGCCAACTTCAGCCCTCAGTAGGGGAGATAACATAAGAAATCTTTTGTCAAGAAATGCTGCCTCTACTTTGAATTATTTTATCTCTGATTTTGCTCTGATTTTATTCCAGTCCACTGTTACTGGAAAGTTTCCTTGCCCTGTATCCCAGTTTCTACTGGCTGGGTTCCTTACTGTGAAGTCTCAGTCCCCTGGTTATGGGCCCCTTATACTTTATGGGAGACTCCCATAATATCCAATACCCAGTGCCTGTTGGAATGGACTTTTTCTTTCTCTCCCTCCCTCCCTTCCTTCCTTTTTTTTCTTTTCTCTCCTCTTTTTTTGTTATGATTATCTCAGTATTTGGGTCACTTCCTAAACAATTTAGAACTTGGCCTCAGGGCTATATTCCACCACTTCCATTAACACCAACTGATGAATTATGAATTCATCAATTCATGGGAGGTGGTTTCAAATTCATAGAAGGTGGTTTGGCATACTGGTTAAGAGTATGGTTTCTGAAGTCAAGTTCCCTGAATCTGAAAGCTAGCACAGATCGTATGACCTTAAGTAAGTTTCTTAACTACTGTATACCTTGATTTCTTCATCTCCAAAATGGGAATAAAGACACTACCTGCCTTACACATGAATAACAGATGATACATAATACTGTATCTAATAAATAATGAGCACTTAATAAATGTTAGCTGTTGCTGTTGTTATGGTTCCAATATATCCACTTACAGAATTACAGACTGCACTACTATCTTTAGACCTTTGCTCAATGATAAAGATCTGCCTGATCTTATATATCTACTAATTTCTGATCCACTTCCATACTTAAATGTAAATTCCTCCTTCCTAATGCAGTGTGTAGTAAATGTGTCCCAAAGAAAGTAATAAGGGATTGAAATTCATTACCTGCAAATACAGCTACATTCCTTCCATTTCCTTTCAAAGAGAAAAGGGCTATTATTCAGCCAGCCTGAACCTGTTCATACTTCTCTTTATCTATGAGACACTACTTTTATAGCTACTCTGTCATCATGGCTTATCTTGAAGAGCAGCTGGGGTTTAGCTTTCTGAGAAGATGATTTGAAAGTTATGTAAAATCAGGCCAAAATATTGTTAGCTTTGAGTACTGGTCTTGTCCATTCCTGCAAGACTTCAAATGATGTAGCATTGATTTACATGATTCAGTTCCTATTCTATGCAATGTAGGTACCACTATTCATATCTGTAACAATACTTTGGATTGATAAAGCCTTAAAATATCACAACTTACTTTGGATTAATAAAGCCTTAAAGTATTACCACTCTGATAATTTAAGGCTTTATCACAAAGAGTATTATATGTGTGATACCTTCAAAAGCAGGAGAGCCAGAATTAGTGTGCATATTTTTTTTTTTTTTGAAATGGAGTCTTGCTCTGTTGCCAGGGTGGAGTGCAGTGGCGCAGTCTCGGCCTTCCAGGTTCAAGCGATTCCTCTGCCTCAGCCTCCCAAGTAGCTGGGACTACAGGCACGCGCCACCATGAACCGGATAATTTTTTGTATTTTAGTAGAGACGGGCTTTCACCATGTTGGTCAGGATGGTCTCGATCTCCTGACCTCGTGATCTGCCCACATTGACCTCCCAAAGTGCTGGGATACAGGCGAGAGCCACTTTGTTCAGCCCAGTGTGCATACTTTATAAGTGGAATAAAAGAGATGAGGGACAAAGAAAATAAGTTATTGACTTCAAACTCTTAAAAATAAGACTCGAATAAGAATCTGGTCCCTGAACACCTAATACTTAGTTAAACTGCTTTTGGAAAAATAGAAACTTATTACTCACTCTTTGACAAAAGATTTTCTGAACATACACAGGTTTAAGACTGGATTTAAAATTATATATATCCTAATATTGATGGCCCAATTTGGAACCCTGAAGCAGTCAACTTCCAAATTTTACTCACATTCAGTATTTGTACCCAATGGCTTGCAGATACGTCTTCAGAATATATGCACCTTCACCAAAATAACAAGTTCTTACCCAATTCCATAGCCTCAGGCAGTTTTTCATCATATAAGCCAAATGTGTTGATTAAAATTTTAAATCTATTTAGGAAAAAATATATCACATTTCTTTAAGAATCAAAATGAGTGTGTTGCTATGAAGAGTTGGCCTGAGTACTAGGAATGCTATATAAATTTCAAAATCATTTCTCAAACTCTAATTTAGAAATAATTTTGATACTGTGCTTTCACAGTTACTGATAAATGTTGATTTGTTGTAAGGGAATGGTGGTGAGGACTTAAAGGAGGGAGGTAGCTGCTGCCAAATCTAAACCTGGGACAAGAACATCAAATTGGAAAAGACTACATGTTCCATTCCCAGGGCTGACCTCTGTCACATCTTCCAGTATTCTCTCTTTGCTTTCACTTAAGGATTGATTACTCAAATTCATCCTGTGACCCAAGCCTAAGAAATACCCTGCTGTTACTTTGCAGGAGTAGATCACAGAAAGTACATTTACAGCTGCTTAACATTAACACTTCTTTCTTATCAGAAATGGCTCAACTCTTTTCCTGACATCAACACATTATTGAAAGTTCTGTACTGTAAATTCTTTGTCTTTCCTGACTCTGCCCTTTCAGGACTGCCTACAGCCAGTAATAACAATGGATTGTCTGTCAGAGGAAACTGCAGCCTCGAAATGCACATAAAAATTCCAGACGCTCAATATCTTTGAAAGATGGTCCAGACTTATCCAGGAGAGTCCATTTTTACTCACTTGGGTATTTAAATATTTTTTTTGTTTTCAATTTTGAATATGGGATTGCCTCCACCTCTTAAGACATCCACTACATCATGTAAATTTATAGTAACACAGTGTGAACTTCGGCCACACTGGTGCCAGTCTGGGATTTCTGCAGTAAAGGTGAACAATTAGGACAAGGATGTTTATACAAGACTTCATTTTCTCACAAACTTTTCCATATTTTTCTCTAAATATTTAAGTTAAGGTAGACACCAAACCAGCAAATCTACTAGAGTAAAACATTAAATACCGTAGATAATTTAATTCAGTACCAGACTAGACCGTCATCTCCTGAATTTTCTGCAATGAGTTATTAATCCTAGGTTAGCAACTTATACTATTGGCATCTTCTGGAATGTCTCCCCTCACTCCATCCCTGTTGTTGTATATTCAGAAAGTAAAAGCTTATTTTATTATTTGTCTAAGAAACAAGTAAAAAAAAAATACTTAAGGTATTCCAGACCCCAAAATGATTACCATTAATTGGAAGTAATCCTTGTCAGTGGGTCCTCTCATTTAGTATGGATAATATATTATACACTTATTTCCTTTAAAAACTACCAAAATAAAGATCACTAGCAATTCAACTTTTGAATACAAAAGACGAAGTTAAAAATGACATCCAAAGAGTTAGTGTTGCACCACTAGAACACCAACAAGCAACAGAGTAGAACTTCATCGTGACAATAATGTCCCTGAAACTTAAAATGAGCATAGTAAAATCCTAAAACATGACAAAACTGTAAAGAAGATCATGCTGATGCTGTCACTCCCCATGTATTAAAAGAAAAAAAAAGTGTTATTACAGGATTTTGTAATTAACCAAATTTTAAAACACCCTTGTTTTTCTCTGTGACTTAAAAATATAAATATGGTGTATTATTTTTAAATCACTCCATTTAATGATGGAAAAAACATGCCAGACCCTGTCACAATAACCAGCTCCTTTTCTGCTCCAACCATGCTCCACCCAGCCTGCCATATCCTGGCTCACCCCTGCTAGAGACACACAGCCGTGTTGTCCACAGCCAGATAGAGAATTTCTTGAGGGCGAAGGACTGTTTCTTGTCATGGTGTGTATCCCTAGTAACTAACATGGCACTCAGCACACTGTAGACAATATTACCTGAAATGGTTGGAACTGGCAATCACTGTGGCCAGTTAAAGGGCCCTGTCATTGCTGTGCCCCCAGAATGGTAATCCTTTCCTTATCTTGCAACTGCTCAGGATTTGAAGATTATTCATTTCCAGCCATACTGCTGGAATGAATTTAAGAGCAACCTTGCTTTCCTTTCTTCCATCCTGCCTACTTTTTTTGCCCCACAAACATAATCACTAATGTCTGTAGGTACTGTACGTTACAAAGTACTTTCATGTATATTTCTTTCATCTAAACCTTACAACGTTTTAAGGTAGGGAGGGCAGACATAATACTTATTTAAAAGATAACGAATAAGAAGTTTAGGAAGGTCAAATTGATACAGAAAGGAGGCAGCCAAATGCCTAGGCAGACGGGCTGGTACCCGGTGAAACCCCACCTCCAAGGCGAAGAAAGTTTAAAGCCTGAAAGCCAAGCTACAAGTTAAATCCTCAGACTGGATTAAGAACTTGTCTTCCTGTTTGGCATGCTTTCCTTTGATTGATCCCCACCCTTCACCTATTTTACATATACCTACCCTTTTCTAATTGGTTTTCTACACTGTCATGCCCACCTTTGAGTGGTGTCTTTGCTTTAACCTTTTTTGCATACACACAAACCAATCAGCACGCACTCCCCATTCTGAGTCCATAGAAGGCCCCATGCCTGGCTGCACAGGGGACATTCCCACCTTTGGGTAGGGGGACAACCCCCGCATCCTTTCTCTGCTGAAAACTGTTTCATAGCTCTATAAAATTCTTCTCCACCTTCCTCACCCTTCAATGTTTAGCACATCCTCATTCTTCTTGGGTGCAGGACAAGAGTTCGGGAACTGCTGAACACAGGTACAAGCTATACCACAGGAAAACTGGGGCATGCCAGTGTGGCTGAATGAGGCCTGGGTGGGGCATTGCTGGCTGGGGACTTGGAAAGTGACTGAGAAGAAAAATCCTACATCAAAATAATTTGATCTAGGTCACACAAAAATAAAATGCTCTTTATGCAATCTTAGTAATAAGACTGGACTAACAGTATTTAGAAGCCTAACCCCAATGTCCCGGTACAGAATCTTGAGACACCCCATTTTCAAACGCATCTCACATTCAGGGTCTGCCTCATCTTTTACTCATTCTCTTTAATTAGGTAAGAATATACCCCCAAATAAATGTTTTATTTAATAAATAAAACAATATTTGTTACGTTAAAAACACAGTTTTACTATACTCATGGAATATTAAAGATGAGTTTCCCACAAGCTCAAGATAAGGTAGTATCTGGCAAGAAACCAATGTCTGCCAAGTTGCTAGAAAAATTATTTCCTAAATTAAAGATGAACTAATTAAAATTATATTAGAAATGAGTGAGAACTAAAGTTCTTTTGGTCAATTTGTACTCAGATTTCTCCCACTGAAAATAATTCTGACAGGAATTAAGATTTTAGTGGCAAATTTGCAAGATAAGAGAGTAGTTTGGCTTATCCAGAAGTGGAAATCAGTTCTTCAACCATTTCCAACACAGTGTTGTAGAATCAAGTGCTTCAGACAATTTAAATTTATAGCAGTGTCTAAATTCTGGGCTCATAAACATATCAAGTTTTCAAGCTCCTAAAATTCACTCTGAATAGCTAATAGGAAAAGTGGTCTGGGAAAAACTACAGAAAAAGCTTATATCCAGATTTATTCTGTAGTTTTTATAAGTCACATTTTTGGAAAGAGGTAGGAAGTAACTAAAATTCTAAAGATAGACTTTTTCTTAGTTATGTAAAGTATCTTATTTCTAATCTAAGAAGAAAAGAGTAGCTCTTATATTAGATGCTTTCGGTTCTCACCATTTAAGGTTAGTTGAACAAAATTGTCAATGTTGAAAATTCAATGAAATTCCATTTTAAAAATTAAAATTGAGCTAAATGGGGGCTGTCTGACTGATGAGACTAATTCCAACTGATGCTGTTTCCCAAGAGAATCTCACTATTTTTGCTTTGTAATGAGACAGAGTCAAAGAAGGCACTCACTGACACTCCAGCTTGAGGGTAGAGGCATGACTCCAAAGTTGTTGGGTATCTGGGCTATCAAGGCTTCAATAGAAGGGAAAAGCTAATCTGCAAAACAGAGAGTAAAGAATATGAAAAGGGGCATGGTGTTGCAATCAAGGGGCAACGTTGAGAGGGAAAGAATGGTGGAGATCTCGTGTTTTGCATGGAGGTCCTCACCAAAACTCAGAAAATGCTTGGTGAAGGTATGTCTGGTAGAAACTGGAAAGGGTTGAGCTTTACACTCAGACTGACATGGCAAATCAAGGTGGCCTCCAAGGACATATGAAGGGGACCACATGACTGTAAGGCCGGGGAATTAGTAGAAATTGTACGGACAGCTTCAGACTTTCACATGCTAAAAAACAGCAATTTGGGTCTGAGCTAATTTATATGTAGATTTCTGAATGCTAAAGTGATTCTGGGTGACCTCTGGGTTATGTAGCAAATGACTAGAGATAACACACCAACAAATGTTAGGTAAATCAGTTTGTAATTTTTTTTTTTTTTTTTTTTGAGACAGAGTCTCGCTCTGTCACCCAGGCTGGTGTGCAGTGGCCCAATCTTGGCTCACTGCAACCTCCGCCTCCTGGGTTGAAGCAATGCTCATGCCTCAGCCTCCTGAGTAGCTGGGTTTACAGGCATGTGCCACCACAACTGGCTAATTTTTGTATTTTTAGTAGAGACGGGGTTTTGCTATGTTGACCAGACTGCTCTTGAACTTCTGGCCGCAAGTGATCCACTTGCCTCGGCCTCCCAAAGTGCTAGGACTACAGGCATGAGCCACCACGCCTGGCCTGTAATTCTATTTTTCTCCTAGTTCCACCCAAACACAAATAACACAGTGATGATAATAGCATGATTTTTGGAGTCAGATGGACTTGGGTCAAGTCCTAAAACTCAAGCCCTTTCCTAGCTGTGAGGCTTAAACTAGTCATTTAACTTTTCTGAGCCTCAGTTTCTTCATGCAACAAAAATAGGGTAATACATACTTTGCAATACCTGGCATATGGTAAGGGCTCAATAAATATGTGTTGACTGCCTGACAGATTTGACAGATTTGCTGTGAGGAGAAGAGAAGAATGCCAAACACTTGTGTGGCCAGGCCCTTAACAAATGCCAGCCATGGTTCCTATGTCATTTCATTTTGTGATTACTTGTAGTGCCAGCCAGGTTTATTTTAAAACTAATAATAAGTACCTCAACAACTTATTCCTCAAGTTCCATTACAAGAATTTTATTCTGGCGGGGTGTGGTGGCTTATGTCTATAATCCCAGCACTGTGGGAGGCTGAGGCGAGTGGATCACCTGAGGTCAGGAGTTTGAGACCAGCCTGGCCAACATGGTGAAAACCTTGTCTCTACTAAAAATACAAAAATTAGCCAGGTGTGGTGGCACACACCTGTAATCCCACCTACTCAGGAGGCTGAGGCAGGAGAATCGCTTGAACCTGGGAAGCAGAGGTTACTTTGAGCCAAGATTGTGCCCCTGCACTCTAGCCTGGGCAACAGAGAGAGACCGTGTTTAAAAAAAAAAAAAAAAAAAGAATTTTATTCAATAAAATTTGTAATGGCCACTAGCCAAGAAAAACTCTCAAATAATTGGTGTTTTATAATTCGTGTTTTAAGTGTTACTACTTTTCAATTAATAGAGAACTGATAGGTTAGCCATCTATAATTTTACTTTTTCTTAATGAAAATATATAGATGTGCTTTTTGAAATAGTAATGGTCATATCAGTCAGCTATTGCGACAACAATCCTACATAATAAAGCACCCCAAATTTAGTGACTTACAATAACAAACATTTATTTTCATGCTCACAAGTCTGTATGTTGACTACAGTTTGACTGATCTAGGCTGGGTTTGGTTGGGTGGCTTGGTTCAGGCTATAGGTTGGGCTCAGGTTCGATTCACTTGTGTTAATTCTGGAACCCAAGGTGAAGGGGCAGCAGCTGCCCAGGGAAAGCTCTTCTCATAACAAATGACCAGTGAAAAAAACTGAAGCCAAACCATGCAAGCATATTTAAGGCTTTATATCACATCACTAACATTCATTCCACTGACCAAAGCAAATCCTATGGCCAAACCCAACATCAGTGGGATAGGGCTGAACAGTAATCAAAAAGTACCCAACAATGAATGCTAAAATTTTAACTGATTAGGAGAAACTGCAATAAATTATTTCTACATCTACATTTTTACATAGAGTCAAATTCATATTAATAAGACCCTGAAAGAAAAGATCTTGTGGTAATTAAGGAGGAGAGTCTAAAGACACAAGGCACTAATTTTAATGTTCTGAAGTGAAAATTTCTGATATTCCAAATACTAAATGAGGTAACTCAGACTTCAGAAGTTCATTTATAATTATGTAGGAAATTATATCAAGCATATTTTATGTGTTTCAATTGAATCAGACTGTTTCTCTACTCAAACTATGTCAAACCATCAGAAGTAATTGATATTATTAAAATAGAAGATAAAAATCTTTACTATTTGATGAGATTTACATTTGAATAAACATCTGTCATTTTAAAAAATTCATAATTGTATCTGGGAAATGCTCCAGCACACCTCACTTAAAAGAAACTACAAAATATATTAAGATTGATTTAAAAAGGAAAATAAAACATTCAGTCAACATAACTGCATTGAAATTTAAGTATTTTTCAATAGACTTAAAATTCTAGGTTGAGAAAATAACAGACAATAAAACACATTTAGTCAAAAGCACACAAGTGTTTTCAATCATTTTATAAATCATTTAGTGCAAGCTAATTAAGAAAGATTACAGTTGGGTATTAATATGATAAAATATGCTGATACAATATTTAAAATATGCTGTAATGATAACAGAAGCAAAGAATTCCTTGGCAATATAAAAAATAAGTTTAACAGAAAATTTTATTTCTAGAGCTTCACTATTCTATAACTCAGGGCCTCAAATGTAACAATATCAAATATCTGTTTTAGGTATTGGACCCCTTAGAATCAACTGCTTTGCTCAAAAGTGTTTTGAACTTGGCCAGGCATGGTGGCTTGCACCTGTAATCCCGCACTTTGGGAGGCTGAGATGAGTGGAGCACCTGAGGTCAGGAGTTGGAGACCAGCCTGCCCAACATGGCAAAAACCCATCTCTACTAAAAAAAAAAAAAAAATATATATATATATATATATATATACACACACACACACACACACACACATCTATATACACACACATACACATATATATACACACACACATACACAAACACACACACACACACACATAAAAATTAGCTGGGTGTGGTGGCGCACACCTGTAATCCCAGCCACTTGGGAGACTGAGGCAGGAGAATTGCTTGAACCCAGGAGGTGGAGGTTGCAGTGAGCTGAGATCGCCTCACTGCACTCCAGCCTGGGCAACAGAGCGAGACTCCGTCTCAAAAACAAAACAAAAAAAGTGCTATGAACTTAACTACAGGGTAGGAGATATAACATTAGTGATTAATTAATTCGAATGAACTAATCTGTGAATGATTCTTTTAAACTTTAATATATGTCATTTCTATTCCACTCCCTCATATTATTCCTCTTTTCAGAAACCTGCATTAGATTTGCTTGTTTGAACAACCTCAAACCCAAACTCTTCACGGTGGCATTCAAAGACCTCCATTATGTTGTCTCAACTTATTTTCCAATCTTATTTTCTATTGCCCTATAATATGAGTGCATTAATTTTTGCTAAGCTGGTCTAATGATTCAAAAACAAAAAAAAAGTGCTTCTCACTTGCAAAACAAGCACTCAATGCCTCTGTATAATATTTGACCTATCTCTTAAGGGTCTGCTCAAGTCCCACCTCTTACACTGAAGATTTTCTAGTCAACTCCATCTTTCAGGGAGCTCATCTACCTCTAATCTTTGATAGCACTTACTGTCCAGCTGTGCATATGGAATTTATTACAAAATTGTCTTGATTTGTTGAAATCTTCACATGTATCATATCATGCCCTTGTAGATCCTAATGGCTTTAAGTATAAATTCCATATCCAAGATATAGACTCTAGATTTCCCATCCAAGATTTATTTTTTCTTTCTTCCTTCCAAAAAAAAATCCCAATTTAATGTGGATGGAAAGCACCCAGTTAATAATACCTTTCAAAACTCCCTGGAAGATGCCCGTTTGACCCTAGTTCTGACTAAAGAGATAAGAGCAGAAGTTTATTTGTAGAGACCTCCAGAAAAGCTACTGTTTTCCTAATAGAAAGGGACAGAAACAACATAAATATGGATGCCTGGAGGTGGAAAAGCCTCATGTGATCTCAAGGACAAAAGCTACATGTTAAGGACAGAAAAACTGGGGACACTGATGAGAACCTAGTACCACTATACCACCCCTAGACTGACTACCTCTAGGCTTCTTGTTATTTGAAAGGAAAAAAACACAAAAACCTTCCTGTTTGGTTATGTTACTTTAATTGGATTTCCACCAAATGAAGCAAAATGCAATCCTAAATAAAACATCTTAACACGACTTTTATGAATAAAAATTTTAAAATAATTACCAAACAACTCTTCAATGTTTAGTATCATGCTGTAACACAGAAGATACAAAAATAAATACATATGATCCCTGTTCTCCAGAAGCTGTCAATTGAATACAAGACATAAATGATTAATACAAGTTGAATTGTGATTCATGTAAGAAATATTTACTAAGCACAGGTATACAATATATATGTAGCACACCAGCAGAGGGACCAACAAGGATAGAAAGGTCAATCAGTCAAGGAGTCAAGGATGAGATCCTCAGAGTGTACAGTCTCATAGATATGTTAACAAATAGGAAGAAGACAATGTGCAGGACTAAGTGGTATAAAAAAGACACAAATTAATTCTACCTTTAATGAAGAACAAGACTACTTTTCACTGAGGAGATCAAGAACAAGTTTTTTCATGCAGAAGGTACACTTGTGAAGGAACTTGAAAACTGGGTGAGATACAGGTTGTGGGAATGGGGGTAGAATGAGGGAGAGTTTGCATTATTAGGGGACAAGGGAGAAAGAGAACTCAAAAAGTGGTAACAAGGTTTTGGAGTAGCATAATGGTAGCAATATTACCAGAAGGTAATACAGTGAGATGGTATATTTGGGGAAGATAAATAAAGAGTTGGATGTGGAGCCATACTTAATCTTAACAAAGCAGACAAAAAACTAGCTTTTTTCAACCCTCATCTCACTCCAGTTATCATGCTATTCTCTACTCCCTTTCACATCCTGCTAAAGGCATGTGTTTGACAATTATCTACGTAATACTCTTACTTTTTTTTAACCCATGATCTTTTCCCCAAGCTGACTTTATCATGTTAAAGATTCATCTGAAATAAATAATTAATAGTGAAACTCTGGCCAGGCACATACAGGCTCACGCCTGTAATCTCAGTACTTTGGGAAGCCGAGGCAGGGGGATCGCTTGAGCTCAGGAATTCAAGACCAACCTGGGCAACACGGTGAAACCCCATCTATACCAAAAAAATACAAAAAAAAAATAGCCAGGGACAGTGGTGTGCACCTGTGGTCCTAGCTACTCGGGAGGCTAAGGTAGGAAAGTCGCTTGAGCCCAGGAGGTAGAGGCCACAGTGAGCTGTGATTGCACCACTGAACTCCAGCCTGGGTGACAGAGCAAGACCCTGTCTCAAAACAAACAAACAAACAAAAAACCTAGAGCTGTGCTGTCCAAAATAATATTATTTTACTTGAATAAAATAATTAATTTTTTCAGTATCATCAGCCACAGTTCAAGTGCTCAGTGGCCACAAGTATTAGACATTGGGAGAATACTCCTGTAATTACAGAAAGTTCTATTGGACAGTGATGACCTAAAGCCTCTCTGAAGTTGGGAATAAGGAAAGGAAGCCCTGATATCACCACAGTTTTTCAGCACTTTTCTAGACCAGGTTTGAATCTATGCAATGGGTCAAGAAAGGAAAATGAGATCTAAAGAATGGAATTACTGTTTCTACGGGAAACCTAAGGAAATAAAATAAAAATATATTAGAACAAATAAATGATTTACAAGTATGATATGAAACAAATATAATCAGATTCACATATATTTGCACTAGTAATCATCAGAGCAAGTGAGAAAGGGCTTCCACTTACAATAGAAACAAAGAATAAGATATTGTAAAATAAACTTAACAAGAATGTGCAGTAGCTATATGACAAGCTAAAAATGTGATTAGACCTCAGTGCAGTAGCTCACGCTTGTAATTCCAGCACTTTGGAAGGCCAAGGCGGGTGGATCACTTGAGGCCAAGAGTTTGAGACTAGCCTGGCCAACATGGTAAAACCCCATCTCTACCAAAATACAAAAATTAGCCAGGTGTGGTGGTGTGTGTCTGTAGTCCCAGCTACTCAGGAGACTGAGGCATGAAAATCGCTTGAACTCAGGAGGCTGAAGTTGCAGTGAGCTGAGACTGCGCCACTGCGTTCCAGCCTAGGTGACATAGCGATACTCTGTCTCAAAAAAAAAAAAATGTAAACGTGATTAGGAGTTAAAAAAAAAAGATTCATCAATAGAGATATATTTTATATTATTTGATGGGACAATATTATAAATATGTCACTCTCCCCAAATTAATCTTCATATTTAATATAATTCCAATAAAATGTCAAGTTGTAAAATATTTGTATAATTTGACAAATTATTCTAGACATATCTGGAAGATGATCAGCTGTTAGACAAGCCAAAAAACTTTGAGAAAAAGAGGGGTTTTGCTCAACCAGACATCAACTGAAGCATATTATAAACCCTCGATAATCAAAACAGTATAAATCTGGCACAGAAATAGATCATAGAACTAAATATAAAAGTTTAGGGACAGACCTAATTATTTATATGGATTATTGCTTGTGACAAAACCAGCATCTTAAATTAGCAGGGGGATGAATTATTTAACAAAGTTTTTTAGAAAAAATTAAAGTTAGATTCCTGGCTCATAACACATAAGAAAAATTCTACATTGGCTAAAGTCTTTAGTGTTAAAACAGATGAAAACAGAGCTGAATAATTTAAAAATATTTGTATCAGGGAGGAATTCCTCAGCCTGATCCCAAATGCAGAAACCATAACAAGACTGACAGATTGGACTCACAGAAATGTAAATGTAAATGTAAAATGTTTGTGTTTTTTGGCACAAACTCCATATAAAGACAGTTTTTAAATGACCTAATTTTCATCAGTATAAGCTTTATTAAATACATTTATTTATTTTATACATAAATACAATGGAATGTCTTGCAGCCATTAGTAATGATTACAGGGAAATATATTTACTGACATGGAAAGAGAGTCAGAAAAATGATTACACCTAACTATGCATAGTATGCTTCCAGTTTTATAAGAAATTATATACCTTGTTATAAATTTACACAATTTATTGTGAAGTTACAAGTCTGGAAGAATATATGCCCAAACCACAATAGCAGCTATCTACAAGATGGTATCATGGTATCATAGTAAGTATTTTTCTTTTGATTTAATCTATATCTTCTGATTTTTCTAAAAGTAAACATGTATTACTTGGGTAATAAATAAAATGTATTTTTAAGTTCTTTTGATAAAATAACCAAGACACTCAACAAACCAGGCATCAAAGGAACATACTTCAAAATAATAAGAGCCATCTATAACAAACCCACAGCCAACATCATACTCAATAGGCAAAAGCTGGAAGCATTCTCCTTGAAGACTGGCACAAGACAAGGATGCCCTCTCTCACCATTCCTATTCAACATAGTACTAGAAGTCCTAGCCAGAGCAATTAGGCAAGAAAAAGAAATAAAAGGATTCCAAACAGGAGGAGAGGAAGTCAAACTTTCTCTCTTAGCAGACAATGTAATTCTATACGTAGAAAACCCCAAAGTCTCTGCCCAAAGGTTCCTAGATCTGATAAACAACTTCGAAGTTTCAGGATACAAAATCAATATACAAAAATCAGTAGCATTTCTATGTGTCAGTAACATCCAAGCTGAGAGCCAAACCAAAATTGCAGTTCTATTCATAGTAGCCACAAAAAGAATAAAATACCTAGTAATATAGCTAACTAGGAAGGTGAAAGATCTCTACAACAAGAATTACAAAACACTGCTGAAAAACATCAGATATGATACAAACAAATGGAAAAACATTCCATGCTCACAGATAGGAAGAATCAATATTGTTAAGATGGCCATACTGTCCTAAGCAATTTGCAGATTTGATGCCATTCCTATCAAACTACCAATGACATTTTTCACAGAATTAGAAAAAACTCTTCTAAAATTCATATGGAACCAAAATGTTTGAATAGCCAAAGCAATCCTAAGCAGAAAACAAAAACAGAAAAAGCAAATCCAGAGACATCACACTGCCTGACTTCAAGCTACACTACAAGGCTACAGTAACCAAAAGTGTGCTATACTGGTACAAAAACAGACACATAGACCAATGAAACAGATTAGAGAACCCAGAAATAAAGCCACACATGTTCAGCCATCTGATCTTTGACAAAGTTGACAATAACAAGCAATGGGAAAAGGACTCCCTATTCGATAAGTGGTGCTGAGATAACTGGCTAGCCATATGCAGAAGATTGAAACTGGACTCCTTCCTTTCACCATATAAAAAAGCAACACAAGATGGATTAAAGACTTAAACGTGAAATGTATAACTATAAAAACCCTAGAAGAAAACCTGGGAAATGAGATTCTAGACGTAGGCCCTGGCAAAGATTTCATGACAAAGACTCCAAAAGCAATTGCAACAAAAACAAAAATTGACAAGTAGGACCTAATTAAATTAAGGAGCTTCTGCACAGCAAAATAAACTATCAGCAGAGTAAACAGACAACCTATGGAATGGAAGAAAATATTTGCAAATTATGCATCCAACAAAGCTCGAATATCCAGAATCTATAAGGAACTTAAACGAATTAACAAGCAAAAACCAAACAACCCCATTAAAAAAATGGGCAAAGATGGCTAGGCATGGGCGCTCATGCCTGTAATCCCAGCACTTCAGGAGGCTGAGGTGGTAGAACTGCTTGAGTCCAGGAGTTCAAGACCAGGGAGATCTTGTCGCTACAAAAAAATAAAAATAAAAAAATAACCAGGTGTGGTGGCATGCCCCTGTGGTCTTAGCTACTTGGGAGGCTGAGGCAGGAGGATCGCTTGGGCCCGGGAGGTTGAGGCTATAGTGAGCAGCGTTCATGCCACTGCACTCCAGCCTGCCTGGGCAATAGAGTGATATCCTGTCTCAAAAAAAAGTAGGGGGTGTGGGGTGGGGGGCAAAGGACATCAACAGATAGTTCTCAAATGAACGCATACACAGAGCCAACAGCACATGAAAAAATGCTCAACATCACTAATCATTAGAGAAATGCATATCAAAACCACAATGAGATACCACCTCATACCAGTCAGAATGGCTACTATTAAAAAGTCAAAAAATAACAGATGCTGGCGAGGTTGCAGAGAAAAGGGAATGCTTATACACTGCTGGTGGGAATAAATTAGAAAGCAGTTTGGAGATTTCTCAAAGAACTTAAAACAGAACTGCTATTTGACCCAGAAATCTCATTACTGGGTCTATACCCAAAGGAATATAAATCATTCTACCATAAAGACACGTGCACGTATATGTTTATCACAGTACTATTCATAAGAGCAAAGACATGGAATCCATCTAGATGCCCATTAATGGTGGAATGGATAAAGAAAATGTGGTACATATACACCATGGAATACTACACAGCCACAAAAAAGAGTGAAATCATGTCCTTTGCAGCAACATGGATAGAACTGGAGGCCATTATGCTAAGCGAATTAATGCAGAAACAGAAAACCAAATACCAATGTTCTCTCTTAAAAATGGGAGCTAAACACTGGGTACACATGGACACAAAGAAGGGAACAACAGACACTAGCGACCACTTGAGGGTGGAGGGTGGGAGGAGGGTGACCATCGAAAAACTATCAGGTACTAGGCTCATTAGTTGAGTAATGAAATAATGTGTACACCAAACAACTGTGACATGCAATTTACCCATGTAACAAATCTGCACATGTATCCCCTGAACCTAAAATAAAAGTTGGAGAAAAAACAGCCATGACATTTAAAAAAAAAAAAAAAGTAAAGTGGCAGCTTCTATTTAAATGAGTGTATTTCTAGATGGTGAGATTACAGGTGATTTAAATTTACTTCTTTACATTAAACTTTTTGAATATTTTTGTACAAGAATATATTTACTCTTTTTGTCAAAATGAAATAAACGTAATTTATCAACTGTGTTTGGCTACTGTGCTGCTGCAGATTACACAACTACTTTAGAAAAGGAATCTGCTGACCACATGGGTGAGCTGACTAATGAGGAATGCATATTAGCTCCTCTGTACCACATCCTTGCTGCCTGGGTCACATTCAATAAGCTATGTGTCAGAAATTAAGCCATTTTCTTTGTATTCATTGGATATGGTAACTCCTGTTTTGATGCTGAGAGTTGGGAAGCAGATAATAAAGCCTGGAAGACAGACCACTACTAAGATGATCATAACTGGGTTTTTCCAGTCCTAGTAAAGCACAAGGAAATGCATTCTCAGTCAGCCGTGCAGGGAAAAGGAGATTACAGCTGAGGTCCCAGGATGACAGGTGAACTCAAATTAAAATTGAAAAGCAGAAATTCTATGTGCAATTTGATATGTAATCTATGACAATTATTTACTACAATGTGAAAGGCAATCCATCCACTTGATTTTCCAAAGATCATCCTCACCCTGTGTGTATTAGTCAATGAAATTAGCAAATTTTCTAAAAGACTTTGCATCCCCCAAAATAAATAAAAGCTTGGGCAATATGAAGATCAGTGAGATAAAACTCTCCAGCTTCAGATTTTTAAAAAAAATCCAAAATTTGCCTCTGCTAAAAAACTAACACTGCCACGCCATCACCACTACTAGTATACCAGTCATTCATTCTTCATTTGTTTATCCCTTCATTCATCTACAGTGAACACCTACTATGTGCCAAGCACTATGGCAGGCAGTGAGTGGAGCTTACAATCAGCCCCTGGTTGAAATCCTGCCCGAAATAAATTAGCTAGAAATAAGTCAGAAAAAAAGAGAGAGAGAGAGAGACAGAAAGAAAGCAGAGTTCCTGGCATCATGAAGCATACAAGTTTGCTCTATTTGCACTTTCAAGCACTGATTATGTCTTACCCTGCTGGTCAATTAAAGATGAAATAATGAGCCTTAAAGTTGCACTGTAATGCAATACATAGACAAAGAAATGGTAGACATCATTTAGATATTTGAAACACTGGTGAGTCTAGAGTTTGGTAAACAAATCACTTCTTCTAATATTGAAATATTCAAATTAAATATAACCAGTAATACATGAAGATTTGAACATCATAGTTTCCAAAGTAAAATAAAATAAAAATTATATGCTCAAACATAGAACTGACAACACTAACCATAGCCAGGACTGGATATAAAAGACACCAAAGCTGAGCTTCCCAATCATACTTTAAACCAAACTAGGTAGATCAGGATACCAAGTAGATGGGATTAGCAGAGCAAGAACTAACAGCAGTTAGGTTTTTCTCTTAAAATAAAACACACATCAAACTTACATAAAATGCATATTTCATATTAGTTAAATATCACTGTAATGCTATACTTTAAGTGGCTTTAGAATTGAAAAACTATTTGCATGTTTAAATGCATAGAAATTTGGTTTTGGAGCCCAAAGTATTTATTCATTTTTTGCCATCAGGAAACTCTAACAGTATTTCTAAAACAAAAATTTATGAATCTATTATTAAAGGTCTTCAAATTATTGATGTTTTAAAAAATATTTCTGTTTTAATTTTTATGATAATCTATAAAAAGAAATTTAAAGATAGTCTGCGTCTTTCAGATGACCCCATGCAACTGAGTACTTCATGAGATCTTTGTGCAGTCGTTTGTATGTACAATTGAGTTTACATCAGTTGACTTCAGGGAAATCTGTACGGCCAGAAGGAAGGCCCTATGGTCCAAATAAGCAGAGAGGTGAAAGAGACCAGTGCCATCTTTGCTTATACCAACTCATATCAATTTATTGGAAATAAGTATGGTCATAAGTATGCAAAAAAATTTTTTTTCTATTCCTGGGCCTAGCAGCAATTGCATCAGATGCCTATTTAATGAAGATGTCAATCAGGCTAACTTTACTCTCAAGTAATGGAGCTTTAAAGAGTTACCAAGTGATACATCTTTAATCTGCTATTCCAAGACTATTCACTGGCAGAGTTTTACTGAAAAAAAAAGACTTAATGAGCCTAATTTCCAATTAGAGACTGAAAATTATTAATACTGTTTTGAATAAACAATACTCATAAGTACTTACAATACTTGTGCAAATAGGTATTTGTTAGATATGTATTATCAAAATTCAAATACAGAAACAGATGAACCATAGAACTAGACTTGTGGCAACATCTTTCTACTATAATCCCCTAAATCAACAACTATTTCAACAAAGCAGAGTCACCCATCCCACTAAAACATATTGGAAGTGAATTATAACACCGCTCATTTGAATGTAATGGTTTTGTAATTCTATTTATATTTATTGTTTTAGTTTTATTTGTATAGAGTTATAAGCACAAAAATTATATGTTTGTATATATTAAGTAATGTAATAAACAATATAAGTAATGTAAGTAACATAATAAAAGCAATTTCAGTCAACATTGGAAGTCCAGGGATTTTATTTTTCTAAAAGAGGATGGGATCTATTTCTCAACTTGGGGAACTCTGCTTTATGATATACATTAGTTTTATCAAGGATTTAAGAGAAAAGGAATGTAGTACCATGGTTCTCTGTTAATTTTTTTTTTTTTTTTTTTTTTTTTTTGAGACACAGTCTCATTCTTGTCACCCAGGCTGGAGTACAGGGGCGCAATCTCAGCTCACTGCAACCTTTGCCTCCCAGGTTCAAGCAATTCTCCTGCCTCAGCCTCCGGAATATCTGGGATTACAAGTGCCCGCCACCATGCCCAGCTAATTTTTGTATTTTTAGTAGAGACGGGGTTTCGCCATGTTGGCCAGGCTGGTCTTGAACTCCTGGCCTCAAGCGATCCGCCAGCCTCAGCCTCCCACAGTGCTGGGATTACAGGTGTGAGCCACTGCGCCGGCCTTGATTTAAATTTTATTTATTGATTGCAAAGTAAGTTTTTTTCCATCCTTGCTTCTGCTTTATTCCTCAACTTCAAAGCTCAACATGGCAGGAATAGAGTGAAGATGGCCAGAAATGGTGGGATGCAATCAGGAAAAGGAACCCCTTTTTTAACAGTCTCTATACTGAATTGTAAATGCTTTCATTTTTTGTCTCAAACTGAACTGTCAGTTTCTGAAGAGATAGGACGGTGCCAACACCTGTTACAACTGAGAAGCGTAATAAATGTTTGCGAAATGAAGGAATGAACCATTCCAGGTCATTTTCTCACTCAGCTTATTCTAGTCTGGTCCAAAGAAAATGAGTCCAAACAATGTCTTAATATTGTTATTTTAAGACATACCTTATAAGAAGTGTACTTGTTGACTGATCAGAGAGTCACACTTGATTATTAAGTGTCAAAATTCTTGGAGACTTACCTGGAGGAGGCTCTCTGAATAAGAAACAATTCTAGGATGGACAGGGTATTCAAATTTTCCAGAGAAAATAAAACATGAACTTTTATCCCCCTTCCATTACAATTATTAACTATAAAATAATAAGTACAACAACCAAGAGTCAGAAAGCAATATGGAATTAAGATAAGCAGTACATTAAACAGCAATATTAAAAATGCATTATTTAAATATATTTTTTTAAATCCAATAGGTCACAAAAATGAAAAGTTTCTCTACTTCCCCCCAATGTCATATTTTAAGAAAACAGATTTTTTTCAGTTTCTGGGTGGTACTAACTGAGAAGCCAGCAAACATTCCTAGCTTCATTCTTAAGAACTGATGAAATACATCTGTAAAAATAAACAGTTTTAAAAGTGGAGCTTGCCAAAAAAAAAAAGTAAAAGCAAAGAATTGTTTTTGTCATTTCCTCAATACTTTAATAAAGGAGAAATCAAAGTAAAATCCAATAAACTTTCTATTACAAATTGCCTCAATGAACATATATGCACACACACACACAATCACACAATTGGGTATGAGGACACAATGCAACAAATGCCTACTCCCATAAAATTTGATTTATGACATAGAATATTATGTAATACTGTATGCATATGACAATTTTTCCTCTTACTTTTCTCTATAACTGAGACCTATACTTAGCCCTGAAAAAAAAAAGTCTCCCTTTTTTTTCAAAATCTAAACTAATTCTTATCAGCAGGCTGTCTAATGACTTAAGTGAATCACTAAGCCACTCTTTCAATTTGGGCTTCTGCAGCAAAGAGGCCTTTGGAGCTAAGAAAATAATTTTTGTTGTATCCTGCTCTTCTGGACAAAAGCTAATTTCCTGCCCAACCCTGGGAGTCACATGATTCCAAGCTAATGGAAAGTCATGTAGAGATCAAGCTCTAACAATTAAAAAGAAACATCCCACCCCCTGCACCCCCGGCTCCCACACCCACACAACAAACCTCCATTTACTATGCTAAGGATTTAAAAAAGAAAAAAGAAAAACATAGATGGAAGTTTCCCACAGAAAGTAAAAATTAGAAATGTAAGACTAAGGGTAGTATGTTATTCACATCAGGATCAAACTGAGAAATCAGAGAGACAGAGGGAAGAAGAGGGGAGGGAAAGAGGAAGAACCACTTTAGGGATATAGGGGGGAAATAAAAAGTTTTTTTTTTTTTAGTGTGAACTGAATTACAGAAGACAAAAACTTGGTGACACACATACAAAAAAATTAGAGGGTGAGTGTGACTGAAGACTCTGACTGGATCTTGAGGGTCAGATGAACAGCAAGCTTGACATCAAGGAACAGCAAATCACATGCAGACCATAACCCAGAGAATACATTTCATGGATCTGTGGGAGGTCCTGGAACACTCTGTGTTATAACAGGCTTAGGATTGCAGAAATTGCACAGGATGAGAAGTTGTTTGACCTTCTCTCTCTAATCTACATTTTGGCCGCTCTTCTAAGTATGCGTTCAAAATTGCCCAATATTGAATGCACACACAGAACTTGAAAGCTGAGTTTCAAAGAACAAACTAGAACAATACCATTGCAGAAGACCGACTCAAAAAATGTTCTGGAAAAAATCCAAACTGATAAGAATCATGGTTCATGGCTTTTGTTTCATGTCCTATTCACTCAATTTTGGAGTGCTACAGTATAATTCACATCTTTATTACTGCAGAGTTGCACTAAATATTGAATCCAAGTTAGTAAAAATGCTAGCTACCATTATCTTTAATTTGGCTTACTGACAATAACATATGCAAGAGGCCTGTGATGTTACATTTTATGTGTCAACTTGGCTAGACTATGGTGCTTAATTGTTTGGTCAAATTTTAGTCTAGAAGTTGCTGTAAAAGTATTTTGTAGATATGATTAACATTTACAATCAGTTGAATTTAAGTAAAGCAAATTACCCTCCATAATGTGGGTGGGTGTCACCCAACCAATTGAAGAACTTAAAGAACAAAGACTGAGGCTTCTGAGAGAGGAAATTCTGCCTCCAGACTACAACATAGAAGTTCTAACCATTTCCAGGCTTCAGAATCAAGACTACAATATCAACTCTTACTTGAATTTCTAGCCTGCCAGCCTTCCCTACAAATTCCAACTTGCCCACCATCATAATTGCATGAGCCATTTCCTCACATTCTCTTTATACACACACACACACACACACACACACACACACATATACATGTTGTATATATGTACATATAATAACTTGAGATATAGGCATATATATACCTATATATCTATATATAGATATCTATATAAACATATATACAGACACATACTTTCCCTCTACATATATACATATATATACATGTACATGCACACATATACACACACACACAATTGGTTCTGCTTCTCTAGAGAACTCTAATACAATGCCCCAAATCATAACAAAAAAATAAATGTACTGCATTCATCCTAATATTATGTAAATTTTATAACTTGAGAAAAACATTGGCTACCATCAAATTTACAAAGTTTTCAAATCACTCAAAAAGCCTGCCCCGAACAATATGGATGGAACCCACGAAAGTTCCCTCTATGGTTTATAGCTTTCATTACACATATTGAGAGTTTAAAACAGATTGCACCCCCTACAGGGGAACATTTAGTTTGCATTTCTAAATTACATTTTGGAGCCAGTAGGTGAATTTTATTTACTCTACAATTATGGAAAAAAATCACAAAGAGGATTAGATTGAGCTAAAGTGAAATGGAGAGTTTACAAAATACTAATAGGCACCTGGCATAAATAAAGGATATCATCATCGAGGACATTATCTTATTTTCAAAGTGCCTTTTAGTACATTCATTCTGAATCAAACACAATAGAGATATCGTTTCTAATTAGACCTTTAGCAAAGTGACAGGCAACCTAATTAAACAAGAACATATGATAACATAATCTGAATAAAAGCATTTTAGAATCACAGGACTTGAAAATAAATTTTAAGTGGATAGGAGAATAATTCAAAGTAGTTTTCCAAGCACGACCAGCAATGGTGGTAAATAACAGATCTAAATTACAATTCATGGTATCTGCCTCTAATGCACAATGTCATTCATTATGAATATTTAAGAAAATTATTTGCAAACAAATAAATTACAACGATATACTGAGCCCAAGGCCCCAAACTTAAAATCCAAATGTCTTCAAGGACAGGGGAATTAACAAAAATATGGAAAGTTTCAGGTATAAGAGGGTGAGGAGGCAGTGTGCATGCCCCATCAAAAAGCAAGCTTACATTAAAATAATGCAGTAACTTTATTCCTTCTCAAAAGAATGCATCAGTACTAGGCAGAATCAGTACTAGGCAGAATGATCCTTGGACTAGGCAATAGAAGTAAATTAGAATGATAAATATAGGAATTATTAAAGAGAACATGGCCATAAATATCCAGGAAATATATACACTCAAAAAAGGAATTTATGTTTGATAAGTACATTATTCATAATTATTGATACAAATTAACCCTAAACCAAAGCTTGTATCACATTAAAAGTGCAAAATTAGCTGCAGATGAATATCCTGACCCAATTATGCAAACACTCTGGTAAATCTGTGTAGACTAAAGGCTCTGAGAAGAAAGTTGAACTTCAGAGGGGTAGAGGGGAGGAGTATTTCAGAAAAGGGATTTATAAAGGAATGAAAATATTTGGAAGACATTGGTAAAAAGGAGATACTTGGGAAGGTAAATCTAAGTCACTATAGAAAGAATTTTGAAGAGATGGGTCTTTACCATCTAGGCCCTTTGTGGAAGAGCTGAAAATACCTCACAGCAACAGGATGTGACTGCTGCCTCATCTGGGAAGACAGATCAACTCAAGCCATCTCAAAGAGGTGAAGGGTAGATGTATAATAGGAGTAGGCGGGGAGAGGAGAATGTATACTGATGTCATAAGAGGATATGCAAAGGTTTTGTGAGAAACCAAGGACAAGAACAGAAAACAGTAGGTCACCCTCTAAGAAACCAAGCCTTCTCTTCCTTGCAGATGGTCTATCTGCTTCTCTCCGGGCATCATCTCAGATGCTGACTGCTTTTTCTGGTGGTTCCCTCTCTAGGCCCAGATGCTGTCTCAGAATTTTTTAGACCAGCTCCCATGGGTTACTGGCAATATCCACCATGGCCTCACAGACTTTACCCACCATGCCTATGCAGGTGCTTGAGAATACATACTCCCTGACCTAACAAAGCAAAGAAACTTTGTAGACATTTAAGGGACTTAGCAATTCAAAGGAGGGAAACCAGAATGGAGAGATAGGCAACTTTTACAAAAGCCAAATTAATGGAAGAAACAATAAAAATGTAATAAGAATGTTTAAGGGGATACACAAGGAGAATAACTACGAAAACTCAAGGAGAAGGTGCCTATGAGAAACATGAACTCTGGGGCTTAAGTTCCAAAAGGATGTAAAATGAATGGCTGGTATTAAAAACCAAACTAGTAAACTGGAATATGAAGCAAAGGAACTATCACATCACAAAGCAGAAATAATGAAATGTCAATCAGTGGTGAAAATATAACAGGCATACAGGACAGATTCAGGAGGCCTAATAAGCAAATAGCATTTCCAGCAAGAGAGAAAAGAGCAGAAGCAATAATCAAATAGGAAAACCCTGAAGTGAAGAAAGAATTGAGTTTTTTAGATCAAAGGAGCTCACCGAATGCCAGGCAGTTATAAGGGAAATAAAAGACACATTCTTCACATTTTTATGGTGAAGTTTTAAACTCCAACTAGAAAGAACAAGTCTTTTAGGCTTCAAGACAGCAAGAACAGGATATTTACTTATAAAAGCAAAATAATGACAACTGGCATCGGACCTTTCATATGCCACACTGGAACCTAGAATAAGTATATAAACTTTTAAGAAAAAAGGACTGCATTCCAAGAATCTTGTGTCCAGGCAAGATATAATCCAGGGGTGTCCAATCTTTTGGCTTCCCTGGGCCACACTGGAAGAAGAAAAATTGCGTTGGGCCACACATAAAATACACTAATATTACTGACAGCTGATGAGCTGAAAAAAAAAATCATAAAAAAAAAAAAATCCCATGGCCGGGCGCAGTGGCTCATGCCAGTAATCCCAGCACTTTGGCCGAGGTGGGCGGAACATGAGGTCAGGAGTTCGAGACCAGCCTGGCCAATATGGTGAAATTCCGTCTCTACTAAAAATACAAAAAAAATTTAGCTGGGCATGGTGGCACATGCCTGTAGTCCCAGCTACTCAGGAGGCTGAGACAGGTGAATCACTTCAACGTGGGAGGCAGAGGTCGCAGTGAGCCGAGATCGTGCCACTGCACTCCAGCCGGGGTGACAGAGCGAGACTCCGTCTTAAAAACAACAATAACAACAACAACAACAAAAACCTCATAATGTTTTAAGACAGTTTATGAATTTGTGAATTTGTGCTGGACTGCATTCAAAACTATCCTGGGCCGTGGGTTGGACAAGCTTAATATAATCTATAAGGTGATTGGAAGAAATTTTATATTTATAAGCATTCAGAAAGTAAATCACCACTTATCCTTTTTGAAAAAAAAAAGGGGGTATTAGAAGAGTATTCCAGTTTTGACATATGATAAGCAATCAAGGTAATATACCATATTAGTAGAAAAAGGAAAAACAAACCAACTGGCCAATTTAACAGATGCAGAAAAAGCACTTAACAAAATCTAGCACCCTTTCATGAGAAAAACCACTCAACAATTTAGTAATAGAAGCTTTCTCCACTTGAGAAAGGGCATCTACAAGAAACCCACAGCTAACATGATTATAAAAGAACAAATTATTTTTCCCCTACAATCAATAACAAGACAAGAATGTCTACTCTTGCCACTTCTATTCATCAATTACTGGAACTCTAGCCAGAGCAATTAGGCAAGAAAAAGAAATAAAAGTCATTCATATTAGAAAGGAAGAAGTAAAACTATCTCTATTTGCATATGACATGATCTTATATATAGATGATTCTGAGGACTCCACCAAAAACCTGTTAGAAGTAGTAAACAGGTTCAACAAGTATGCAGGGTGCAGGATCAAATACAAAAATAAATTGTTTTCCTATACATTATCAATAAACAATCTTAAAATAAAATTAAGCAAATAATTCCATTTACAGTATCTTCAAGAAGAATAAATATTTAGGAATAAATTTAACAAAAGAAGTGCAAGACTATAAACTGAAACTACAAAACATTGTTGGAAGAAATTTAAAAAGATCTAAATAAATAAAAAGACAATCCCAAGCTTATGAAGTGGAAGACTTAATACTGTTAAGATAGCAATACTCCCAAAGTTGATCTATAGTGTCAATAAAATACCTATCAAAATTCCAACAGCCTTTTTTGCAGAAATAAACAAGCTGATCCTAAAATTCATATGGATTTGCAAGGCAACACGAATAGCCGTAACAATCTAAAAAGAAGTCTAAAGTTGGAGGACTCACTCTTTTCAATTTGAAAACTTACTATAAAACTACAGTAATCAAGACTGTCTGAGCCAGGCACAGTGGTGTTCACCTGTAATCCTAGCTCCTTGGAAGGATCACTTGAGCCCAAAAGTTCAAGGCCAGCGTGGGCAACATAGCAAGACTCATCTCAAAAAAAAAAAAAAAAAAAAAAAAAAAAAAAAAAAAAAAAAGCCAGGCGCCGTGGCTCACACCTGTAATCCCAGCACTTTGGGAGACTGAGGCAGATGGATCACCTGAGGTCAGGAGTTCGAAACCAACCCGGCCAACATGGCAAAACCCTGTCTCTACTTAAAATACAAAAATTAGCCAGGCGTATTGGTGGGCACCAGTAATCCCAGCTACTTGGGAGGCTAAGGCAGGAGAATTGCTTGAACCCGGGAGGCAGAGGTTGCAGCGAGGTGAGATCGAGCCATTGCACTCCAGACTGGGAGACAGAGCAAGATTCCATCTCAGAAAAAAAAAAAAAAAAAAGCCAGGCACAGTGGCTCATGCCTGTAATCCCAGCACTTTGGGAGGCCGAGGCAGGTAGATCACCTGAGATCAGGAGTTTGACCAGCCTGGCCAGCATGGTGAAACTCCGTCTCTACTGAAAATACAAAAATTAGCCGGTCATGGTGACACGCACCTGTAGTCCCAGCTACTTGGGATGCCAAGGCAGGAGAACTGCTTGAACCTGGGAGGCGGAGAGTGAGCTGAGATCGTGCCACTGCACGATCTGCACCAGCCTGGGTGACTGGAACAACTGGATAGCCAATCGCAAAACAATGAAATTGGACCTCTACCTTACACTGTATGCAAAAGTTAACTCAAGATGAATCGAATACCTAAACGTCAGGGCTTTAAGCAGAAACTTAGAAGAAAAATAAGTGGGCCAGGCACAGTGGCTCATGCCTGTAATCCCAGCACTTTGGGAGGTCGAGGCAAGCGGATCACCTCAGGTCAGGAGTTTAAGACCAGCTTGACCAACATGGAGAAACCCTGTCTCTACTAAAAATACAAAATTAGCCAGGCGTGGGGGCGCACACCTGTAATCCAAGCTACTTGGGAGGATGAGGCAGGAGAATTGCTTGAACCTGGAAGGTGGAGGTTGCGGTGACTGAGACTGTGCCACTGTACTCCAGCCTGGGTGACAGAGTAAGACTGTCTCAAAAAAAGAAGAAAGAAAAGAAAAGAAAAAAGAGAGAGAGAGAGAGAGAAAGAAAGAAAGAAAGAAAGAAAGAAAGAAAGAAAGAAAGAAAGAGAAAGAAAGAAACAAAGAAAGAAAGAAAGAAAGAAAGAAAGAGAAAGAAAGAAAAAGAAGCTGGCTATCATCCAATTTTAAAACTTTTGTGCTTCGAAAGACAAGACCAAGAAAGTGAAAAAACAGCCTACAGAATGGGAGAAAATATTTGCAAATTCTATATCTGATAAGGTTCTAGTATTCAAAATATATAAAGAACTCTTACTATTCGACAATTAAAACAAAGAGAACCAGCCAGGCGTGGTGGCTCACGCCTGTAATCTCAGCACTTTGGGAGGCCAAGGTAGGTGGATCACGAGGTCAGGAGATTGAGACCATCCTGGCTAACATGGTGAAACCCCATCTCTACTAAAAATACAAAAAATTAGTCGGGCGTGGTGGCGGGCGCCTATGGTCCCTGCTACTCGGGAAGCTGAGGCAGGAGAATGGCGTGAACCCAGGAGGCGGAGCTTGCAGTGAGCCGAGATTGCGCCTCTGCACTCCAGCCTGGGCGACAGAGCGAGACTCTGTCTCAAAAAAAAAAAAAAAGAGAGAGAGAACCCAAATTTTTTAATGGGCAAAGAATCTGGATAGACATTTCCCTAAAGAGTGTATACAAATGGCTGATAAGCACATGAAAGGATTTTAACATGATCAGCCGCCAGGGAAATACAAATCAAAACCATAATGAGATACCACTTACCACTCTAGAATAGTTATAATAAAAAAGACAAAATAACAAGTGTTGGTGAGGATGTAGAGAAATTAGAACACTCATACACTGCCAGTGGGAATGCAAAATGAAACAGACACTTTTGGAAAACAGCCTGGCAGTTCCTCAAAAAGTTAACATAGAGTTGCCAAATAACCCAGCAATTCTACTCCTAGGAATACACTCAAGAGAACAAATAACATATGTACACACAAAAGTATGTTCATGAATGTTCATAGCAGCATTATTTGTAATAGCCAAAAAGTGGAAAGAGCCCAAATATCCATCAACTGATGAATGGATCAACAAAATGTGGCATATTCATGTTATTCGGCCATAAAATATAATGTATCACTGATACATGCTACTACATGAATAAACCTTGAAAACATTATCCTCAGTGAAAGAAGCCAGACACCAAAGGGCATATATTGCATGATACCATTTATATGAAATGTCCATAATAGGCAAATCCATGGAGACAGACAGTAGATTAGTGGTTGCCAGGGTTTGAGGGTAGAGGGAAATAGGGAGTGACTGCCAATGGGTATCCAACTCAAGCCTTGTTGAGTTGGATTTCCTCTATAATCTCATTTAATCTTCACAGTAGCCTTGTATATGATGAGGGCAAGTATGTGCATATATATAGATATATGCACATGTATATATGTACACACACATATAAACACATACACCCACACAAAACCATCTGTACTTTATAGATGAAGAAACCAAAGATCAAAGCAATTAATTAGCCCAAGGACACACAGCTAGCAATTGAGAGATACCAAACTCAGCTTCAGATTTTTTGACTCCACATCTTCCAACTGAAAACACACTTTCCTTTTCATGTGAATGAGCAAAGCTGTATAAAGATATCCTTTCTATAAAAACAAATATAATTGAGATGCAAAAGAGAAGCTTGTGAGTTAAAGGAATATTTGTTAACTAGGTTTCAATACAAAACTGTGTTTAAATTCAAGCATGCCTCTGCATGGATGCTCACTGCACACAGTTGGTGGATCGTCCAGAGAGGGCAGAGAATAGTAAGATACAGAACCATTGCAACGATCACCAGGCACCCATCAGCGTGGGTCCCGCATGACAGAACAGTGCAGTGCAGTGGTTAAAGGCACTGACTCTGAAGTCAGGCTGCCTGGGTTGAAATCCTGGCTCTGCAGCTCCATAGTTCTTAAACCAAGGTAAATCCAAACTTCACAACTCTGTATTTCCCTCACTTCAAAAATTATTTCTCCTATAGTCTTTTCCATCTTCCTAAGTAATAAGCCTAGAAGTAAGTCATCCTCGATTTCTCTTCTGTCCCTATCCAAAAGCAGATCCAATCCACAACAAGTCTTGGTAATACCATCTAACCCCAAAACTTACTCAACACTTTGTTTTTCTCCACTTGTACCAGCCAAGTCTCTATCCTGTCTTCTCTCACCAGGATCTAGGCCTCATGGGTGTGTAGCCTGTGCAGTGGTTCAGGGCCCCTCACTTAGGTCCCAGACTTAGTCTGATGCTCTGCTGTCACCATCCTGAAAATCTTAATAATCTTTGATCTTGGGCAAGTGAAATCTGATGGGACAATGACACGTGTGCACGAGCAGAGGAGACAGGTGCCATGTGTGTCTGTGGTTCCTCAAGACCCCATGTGGGTATGGTGTTCACGATGTCCCATGAGCACAGAATTTTAGCTTACCACAATGCATGGGAGCTTAGTGAGCCTAGAAGCAAGTATGAAGTAAGAGTGTTACATCTACAACTCAGCGAGCAAGGACCGTTCACAGGGCTGATGGGCCATGCTTGCCTTTTGAACCAGAATTGACTGTGAGCACAGAAAAAAGGCAATGGTGTTCTGAGAAACCTAAATGACCAAGAAACCCTATAATATCCTCTCTTATTTGTGTTACTTCCCTGTGTTAACCTAGCACCCATGCTGAAAATGACGAGAGAAGGAAAGGGAATCATAGGGCAACCCAGAGCTCCTTTTCCTTGCCCATCTTTTATCTACCAGGAAGCTGAGGGGAGAGAGTGTTGGTAGAATGGGCACGGAACGAGAAGTGAAATAAAACAGTTGAGCTTGTTTTGTGCCACATTTCCACAGTTCTGGTAAGAACAAAGTACATATGCATGTATGAACTATGAAATGTAAGTTCGGTAATATCAGTGATTCTGGATATGAGCTAAATGTTTTCTTTGATTTATTGGTTTTTGTTCATTTTTTATAAGTCTTTTATCCCTAAAAATGTCTTATATTTGCATTTAAAACCAGCATTGCACAATATACAGATGAATGGTAAAATTCATACTAATATTTTAAGCTTTAATTTTTCTTTACTTAGAATGACATTAAACAACAAAACAAACAAAAACACACCATGACAAGTTGATGGACTGTGAAACAAAAAGTTTTATAGTTTAGTACCTTTAATAGTACTCTCTTCCCCCTGCTTTTTGAACAAGAGCCCCCACATTTTCATTTTGCTGGAGGCCCCACAAACTATGTAGCTGGCCCTGTGGGAACCATATGATAGCCTCCTTCCTAACTGGTTCCTGGCTTCCTCTCTTCCCCTGCCACACTCCTTTCTCCACAGCAGCCAGAGTGTTCTTTTTAAAATCATAAGTTGCCCAGGCGCAGTGGCACACACACGTGTAATCCCAGCACTTTGGGAGGCCGAGGCAGGTGGATCACCTGAGGTCAGGAGTTTGAGACCAACCTGGCCAACATGGTGAAACCATGCTGTAAAAATAAAAAATTAGCCATGTGCAGTGGCGCAGGCCTGTAATCCCAGATACTTGGGAGGCTAAGGCAGGAGAATCACTTGAACCCGGGAGCCCAAGGTTGCAGTGAGCCAAGATCGTGCCACTGCACTCCAGCCTGGGTGACAAAAGTGAAACTGTCTTAAAATACAATACAATACAATACAATACAATACAATACAATACAATACAATACAATACAATACAATACAATACAATACAATACAATACAATACAATATAATACATACATAAATAAAATAAAATAATAAAATAAAATAAAATAAAATCCTAAGCAGATCACTTGAACCCTGCTTAAAACCCTCCAGTGTAGGAAGAAGTACGCACAATAAAATATGTTTCTTACCCAAGACCTGACTGTCCCTCCCCAGTCTTTTGACCAAATCCTCCACCACACATCCCCTTCCTCTCAGCCTTCCACCCCACTAGCCTTCTACTTATTCCTCAAAGAAAATGTGTTCCTGCCTCGGGGCCTTTGCACCATGCAGTTCCTCTGCCTAGAATGCCTTTACCCTAGATCTTTGTATGACTGGCTTCTCCTTGCCATTGGGGTCTCAGCTCATCCCTCATCCTGGCCACCCCATCTAAGGAGTTCCCCAAGCACTCCTGTCACACAACCTTCGTTCTGTCTTCTCAGAGCATGCATTGGTTTTGGATACTATGTTGCTTACTAATGTATTGCTTTCTCCTCAAGACTATAAGCTCCTCAAAAGCTGGATCTTTGTGTATACTGCTCACTACTCTTATAGGTAAAGGGAAAGGGGGTTCATGCCCCTGGGGAAGATGGGAGTACGTGGAGAAGTTCCAGCTTCCTCCCCCGCAACCCCTGTAGGGAGTGGGAGAGAGAACTAATTCTGAGATGCATTGTTCACTGTTCCTCAGAGTCCTCAGATATACAGTGCCCTGGGTGACCCCTGAGGTAGCTCTCAACCCAACATCAACTCCTGTATTAGCTTTTCTTCCTTCCCTGTTTCATTCTCCCCTCTCCATCATTCTGCTTCCTGAAATCACCTCCCAACGAACCACTCACTGTCTCAGGCTTGCTCTCAGGGAGATCTCAGCTAAAATAATCTCTAAGCCTCATTTTGCTCCTCTGTAAAGGGGGGTTATAATACTACCTAATCTTGTTAGTACCTTCTCCTAACACAGTGCTGTTTTAACTCAGTGTTGTGCTATGAGGATTAAATGAGGTGACACGTGGACAGTTCTCATCATGGTGTCCAGCACACATGAAAATTCCACCAGTACTACTTCGCTCGTAATACCAACAGCAAGCAACAGTTCAAGCAACACTTAATCTACCATGATACACTTTCACAGGAAATCAAACAGGCAATTCACATAAATGTGGGGCTATCTTCTAGCACCATGGTCCTCTGGGGGCGATTTCATCCCCACTGGGGATGTGACCAATATATGGAGACAAATTTGGTGACCACGACTGGGGGTTGCTAGTTGCAACTAGAGGGTGAAGGCCAGAGAAGCTGCTAAACATCCTAATGCACAGGACAGCCCCTCACAACAAAGAATTATCCAGCCCCAAATGCCAATAGCACCAAAGCTGAGAATCCCTATCTAGCACAGTATCCTGATGATGAGAGGAGCTTAATAAATATTTATTTAATGTAATTCACCAAATCTTAAAAAAAATTGAAATAATCACATCAGAAGAAGAAAATTAAATCTTGGCTGGAGGTCTGTGTATGTTTACCACAGAAACAAAGCCATATAAAGCACACATCCATGGCTCATTTGGGAAAAAGGACAAATCTTTTTTTTAAAGGACAAATCTTAAAATAGGTTAAGTCTGTAGTCCCAGTTACTCGGGAAGCTGAGGTGGGAGGATGGCTTGAGCCTGGGAGGTGGAGATTGCAGTGAGCGGAGGTTTCAGTGAGCCAAGATTGTGCTACTGCCCTTGAGCCTGGCTGACAGAGTGAGGCCCTGTCTGAAAAAATAAAATATGTTAAATATCAAGGTATGGCAGAAGTTCTAGATGCCCATTTAATACACATTCAGCCCTTTCTCTTTAGTAATAAAATCCAATTTTAATTAAGATGACAATGTGGGCCGGGCATGGTGGCTCATGCCCGTAATCCCAGCACTTTGGGAGGCCAAGGTGGGTAGATCATCTGAGGTCAGGAGTTTGAGACCAGCCTGACCAACATGTTGAAACCTTGTCTCTACTAAAAATACAAAAATTAGCTGAGTGTGGTGGCAGGCGCTTGTAATCCCAGCTACTCAGGAGGCTGAGGCAGAAGAACTGCTGGAACCCAGGAGGCAGAAATTGCAGTGAGCCAAGATCGCGCCATTGCACTCTAGCCTAGGCGATGGAACAAAACTCTGTCTCAAAAAAAAAAAAAAAAAAAAACCCACAACAAAACGATGACAATGTACCCCTCTAAAAAATTATTTAACCATCCTCTCTTGCAACTAAATGAAGCACATGTCACTGAATAACAGCTCCTAAGAAAAAGCTTTAAAGACAATTGACCCAGTTAGTACAGTGTTTTGTTTTTTTTTTTTTGCCTTTGGCCAGTCTTCATTCTTGCAACGTGGCTGCGGATGTGATAGCTGGGGCTGCGGGGGCCACATGGCAACCATGAGGTGCCCTGGAGGATGGAGTTTGGGATCCTTGTAAGCAGGGAACTGCCATGCGAGCCATGAACTGTGTATCTCTGTACTTCTCTTACGTAAGAGAAAAACCACCCTCTCTTTTGTTTCAGCTAGTATTACTTGGGCTTCCAGTGACACTTACTTAAGGGATTAAATCTATTAACTATAGTCGTGAAAGGAAGCTGACTGTCAAAGGATATATATCTAAAATATTAATATCATCTCTCAGTTAATTATCACTAGCAACAAAGAAGTTTAAGGATCTGAGAAGATCTGCGGAGGTCCATGAAGCTAGGTAAATTGGTTTGTGACTGGCAATGCCCTCTATACCATAGAATCTAACAATCGGCCCTTTTATAGCAGTGACCACATTCCCAAAGGAGCTAATGAGGCCAACAGAAGAGAAACACCCTGTAGGCAGATGCACATGAAGTTCTGTGAAGATCAAAAACTGCCATTGTAAATATGACTAAAAAGAAAAGAGTGAAGCAGTTTAGCCACTGAATTTTGAGGTCTCTATTCTGACCTAGTTTGGGGAGGTACCAAAAATAAGTCAATGCATATGGTTCTCTCTATTCCTACCTTCATTTGAATATTCATTATCAGAAAACACAACATCCTAAAATAGCTTCTAGAGTTTCCACTAGTGATACCAACTCTGAATATATACACTTCTAGTAATATACAGTCAAGTGACAGCCTACTATGTGGATAGCATTGTAAGAAGGTATAAAGGTTCATAAAAGAAGGAAACAGTTCATTCCTAACCTAAATAGCTTTCATATCTAGTTAGGAATACCAAACATGACACTTGCAAACAAATTGATAATAACATGACAAAGCAACAGAAAGTGTTTGCAGAACTTGTAAATATATTAAAGAGAAAAAAAGAACAAAATTAAAGGTGAAAAATAACATAGTCTTTGATGTTGATGGTACTTATTACTCAATAGATATAATTTGTACTATATGTTCATATAATATATTATTATATAACATTATGGACTTCCTGATAAAAGAAAAATAATCAATGAGTGCACTCAAGATTTTAATAACGTGCCTCCTGGATGAAAAAGCTGAGTTAAAGGAAAGCTTTAACTCAATAAAAGTATGCAGTTAATTTTTTTCACTTCCAAATATTGATGTTTTACTTCCTGTAGAATTGACTAAAATCCATTACACAGTGTTCCCAAAAGAAAATGTTGATGGGGGCTGGGCGCGGTGGCTCATGCCTGTAATCCCAGCACTTTAGGAGCCCAAGGCAGGTGGATCACTTGAGGTCAGGAGTTCAAGATCAGCCTGGCCAACATGGTGAAACCCCATCTCTACTAAAAATGCAAAAATTAGCCAGGTGCGGTGGCACACCCCTGTGGTACCAGCTACTTGGGAGGCTGAGGCAGGAGAAATCACTTGAACCTGGGAGACAGAGGTTGCAGTGAGCCTAGATCGTGCCATTGCACTCCAGCCTGGGTGACAGAGGGAGACTCCATCTCAAAAAGAAAAAAAAGAAAATGTTGATGGGGTGAAAGATGATCAGTCCTAAGGCTTCATATATCATGCCTATTTGGAAATCTGATTTTTAATATTTTAAGCACAGCACAAATAAAATCACATGAACAGAATATTTTACTCTATAATGTTTAAGCAAGTTTTAAATGAATCATAAATGAGAGTGTTTCTATTTTTTCCCAACTCATTATGCCAATTACTTTCTAATACATTACTACTTATTTGCAGATATAAAGACAACAGTAATATCCTAATTACAGATCACAAAAATTGCTGCCATTTTGCCAGCATGTGCTATTTGTATAATAACAGCTGTCAGTCATTCCAGGCTACATTCCCACCTATATTATAGATTAAAAATATAAGATTGATTTTCATCATGAGTATAAATTCACATATTATTAAATGAAAATTTGGCCTTATGAGCAAAACAAGAATACAACTGAAAGAAAAAAACAAATATAAAGCTAAATTGTATTCATTCAATACAATTTTTATTTTATCTTTTGAGTACTTGTCACGACTAAGTGTGTGCCAATTCAAGAAATACACACCTGATTCAGATGGAGGGTAGAGTCAGCTCTGGGAGCTCATCCCAGCACTACCATCTAACAAGTGGTATCTGTTTAAATGAGTTATTTCACTCTCCCTAAACTTACATTTCCTTCTATCAACGAAGTTTGATCATCATTTCCATTTTATAGACTTGTTTTAAGAATTAAATGAGATAATAAAGATATTAATGTGGTAACAGATACATAAGTATTCAGCAAATGTTACCACTTCTTCTTCTGTTATTAGAACAAAATAAAACTAAAAAGTACGGTACTTGACAAACAGGGAATGGAGGTCTCTTTTCCTCTTTAAAAGGACAGTTAACACTTCAATAAGTCTTAAAACAATTTAAACCAGGACTTCAACTTGAACCAAGTGTAGCATTATGTGAAAGGTTTTGCTCAATTTTGTTTTCATGTTTAAGTCACATTTGCAATATTTTCATAGGGACTACTAATTGAAGCCTGATATGGTTTGGCTCTGTGTCTCTACCCAAATCTCATCTTGAATTGTAATAATCCCCACGTCAAGGGTAGGACCAGGTGGAGGTAACTGAATCATGGGGGTAGTTTCCCCCATGCTGTTCTCCAGATAGTGAGTTCTCAGGAGATCTGATGGTTTTATAAGTGTCTGGCATTTCCCCTGCTGGTACTCATTCTCTCTCCTGCTGCCCTGTGAAGGGGTGCCTTCCACCATGATTGTAAGTTTCCTCAGGCCTCCCTAGCCATGCAGAACCGTGAGTCAATAAAACCTCTTCTCTTTATAAATTACCCAATCTCGGGCAGTTCTTTATAGCAGTGTGAGAACAGACTAATACAAAGCCCATATTTCATCTTCTATTTAAAAAATATTACAAGCCTCTTTTTTTAAATATAACAGGTAAGATATAATGAACAAAGTGGCATCAAAGTTTTTTGACTAATGACACAACTTCCCAGGTTCTGGCTGGAATTAGAAACTTATATCAATAAAACTGGATATGTTATCTTCATTTGTATTTTAAACAGTGCTCAGACTTTCGGATTTCACAGACTAGTAATTTTTAATTTTGAAAAGCACCATAAGGTTGACAACATTTTATATGTGAAATTTAAAAAAATTAAAAATAAGTACTGTGTAATAGGGACATTTTAAAACAGTAATAAATATAGGGATACTAGGGAAAATTTTAAAACTCTCTTCTACTATCTAGAGCATTTAATTAAAGAAAGAATATTCTAACACTATAAAAAGAAGGACATACTTTCAGATACAGGAGAAAAAAATATTTCCCAAGAAAGAATAGCTGGCTTCCGTACACTGATATGTGTGTATGTATATACACACATATATACACGTCTTCTGTGTATGTATCCTAAATTTTTTTCTCCATGTATTAGTTCTTGGATTTAAATTTGGGAGTCCTTAAGTAGAAACAAGATTTTTGAGAGATTTAAGATTTTATGTCATTAATTACATTTATCAATTACTGAAGAAGGAAACATTACTGGTCAGAAATTCACTCAATAAATATGTATTGGGTGCCTGCCATACACCAGGACTGTGAGCATTTTCTCAGTGGAGCCCACATTCCTGTGGGTGGACAGATAATAGGCAAACCTGTCTACATATGTTTATTATCTGTCTAATAACAAGCGTATGCTTACATATTGATCCATGCTAAGAAGAAAAATGAAGCAGGTTAAGATGACAGAGAATAATGGAGGGGGAGGGAGGGTATTCAAACAAATCTTCAACAAGGGGACATTTGAGCAGAGCTCTGAATGAAATGAGAGGGTTATATGGACACCTCCAGTAATAATAATGGTTAATAGTTACACAGCATTTACTCCTGTGCCAGTGACTATTCCAACTGCTTCTCATAAATTCATTAAATTCTCTTAAGGACTGTATATAGGTACATTTATTATCCCCATTTTATAGATGAGAAAACTGAGGCTCAGAAAGGTTAATTAACTTGTGCAAGGTCACACAGCTAGTGAAGAGCAGAGCTGAAAAGTGAACCCCAGAGAGTCTGGCTCCAAAGAGTCTTGCTCTTAACCACTACCACTATGTTCTACTGCATGTCAGCGGGAAGAGCAAGTGCCACCCTGAGGCAGCATTTGTGTGTTTGTTTGCCAAGATCAAGAAATAGCAAGGAGAGGCCAGCATGGCTGGAGTACAGGGAGCAAGGTGGATGGGCATAAAAGATCAGATCAGAGAGAGAGGATGGTACGGCGGAGAGCAGGGGGCAGTTTACATGGGGCCTTGAACTGCTGCATGGCAAGGACTTTGGGTTTTATTCTGAGTGAAAGGGGGTTAGGGTGGCTGTTGTGCAGAGAAAAGACTGTTGGGGGCACAGGGGAAAGCAGGGAGCTGAGTCTTACAGCTACTGCAATAGTCTCAGAAGAGAGTGATGATGACTCAGGCTGAGGAGGGGATCACTGGAGTGGGGGCATGAGAAATTGATATCTAGATTCCAGATATATTTTGCAAGTAGAACAGAATTTAGTAATGGCTGAGAGATGGAAGAGAAAGAAACAAAATTCATGGATTATACCAAGCTTGTGACTTGAGCAACTATAAGAAAGGGACTTTTGCTCATATAGGCATTTGCTCATATAGGGAGTACTGGGTAAGGAATGAGTTGGGGGAGAAAATTAAGACTTTGGTTTTGAACACACTAAGTTTAATATGCCTGTTAGACACTCAAGTGAAGCAGCTTGACATGTGACTCTGGAGTTCAGGTCTAGATATAAACATCTGGGGTATATCCATTTATAGAGGAGACTGAAAGCCATGGAACTGTAGAGGGAGAAAAGCACTATACGCTGGGACTCCAGCCTATCCAGAAACAGGAGATGAGGAGGAACCATGGAAGGAGACTGGGAGGGGCGGGCTGTCAGTAAGAGAGGCAGAAGATCATGGCAGTAGAGTATCCTGGCAGCCAAGGAGAAGAGAGAGGTAAAAGATGTTGCTGAGAGGTAAAAGTGAGATACGAAGACAGATAATTGGCCACTGGACTTAACACTTGGAGGTCATCAGTGACTTTAACAAGAGCAGTATCGGTGGATTAGTGAGAGAGAAAGGGAGGAGAGAAAGGGGAGACAATGAGAGACAAGTCTTTCAAGTTTTCCTAGACATGAAGAGCAGGAAAAAAATGGGACAATATGTGAAGAAGACAGAGGTCTGGAAAGTGGATTGGGGTTTTGTTTTGTTTGTTTTAAAGGATGAGACTGGATATCACACCAAAAGCTCAGGCTACAAAAGCAAAAATAAATAAATAGGACTACATCACACTAAAAAGCTTCTGCACAGCAAAGGAAACAATCAACAAAATGAAAAGGCAAATTATGGATTGGAAAAAAGTATTTGCAAACCCTGTATCTGATAAAGGATTAATATTCAAAATTTATAAAGAACTCATACAACTCAATAGCAAGAAAACATATAACTTGATTTTTAAAATAGGCAAAGGGACCTAAATGGACATTTCTCAAAAAACAAAACGTAAAAATGTCCAACAGGTATACGAAAAGATGCTCAATATCACTAATCATTGGGGAAACACAAGTCAAAGCTGCTGTGAGATACCATCTCACACCCATTAGGCTGGCCATAATTAAAAAGAGATAACAAGTATTGGCAAGGATGTGGAGAAAAGAGAACCCTTGTACACTGTTGGTGGGGATGAAGATTGGTGCAGCCATTATGTAAAACAGTAGGGAGGCTTCTAAATAAGTTAAAAGTAGTACTGTCATATGACCCAGCAATCTCTCTTCTGGGTATACACCCAGAGGAAATGAATTTGCCACCTTGTAAAGATATCTGCACTCTCATGCTCATTGCAGCGTTATTCACAATAGCCAAGATAGAGAAACAATCTGAATGTCCGTTGACAGAAGGATGGAAAAAAAACACAGATATACATATTAAATATAATAGAATTATAGAGAGAATATAGGATCTATAGAATACTATAGAATATGTAATTTGGCCTTTAAAAAAGAGGAGGTCCTGCCATTTGCCACAACATGGATGAACCTGGAGGACATTATGCTAAGTAAAATAATCCAGACACAGAAAATTTTTACATGATATCACTTACTATGTGAAATCTTAAAAAGTCAAATATACAAAGTTAGAGAATAAGGCAGTGGTTAGGTGGAGGGTGAGGGGGAGGAAACAGGGAAATGTAGATCAGAGGACAAAAAGTAGTAGATATTAGGATGAACAGGTCTAGAGACCTAATGGACAACATGACTACAGTTAATAATAGCATGTTATATTTGGGATTTTTGCTAAATGAGTAGATTATAGCTGCTCTGATCACACACACAAAATGGTCAACTGTGAGATGATGGGTATGTTAATTTGCTTCACTATAGTAACCATTTTACTATCCACATGTATCTTAGAACATCATGTTGTGTATTTTAAACATATAAAATAAAATTTGGTTTAAAAAATTGTGAAAGAGATATCACAGCATGTTTGTTTGCCAATGGGAATGATCCAGGAGAAGAGAGAGGTGACAGGTGCAGGAGAAAGTCCTTGGGTAGGCAGGTGGGCTAGGATCCAGAGTACGAGCGGAGGGGCTGTTTGTCTGCAGAAACAGGAGAAAGCAGAGCGTCAGGTATGGACATCAGTAGGCTGGGAACGGGAGTGTGAAGCCTACGCCAGTGCTGCTGGCAAGCACACAATCCTGGGGATCTTGTTAAAATGAAGACACTGATTTGGGAGGTCTGGGGTGGGGCCTGAGAATCCACATTTCTAACACGCTCCCATGGTTGCTGGCCATGGACCATACTTGTGAGTAGCAAGGCTGTATGGTTTGTTTCTTTAAACAACAATTTCTGATTATAAGAAGAAATGTATGTTCATCTTATAATACGAAAAGTACTACATAAAAAATTCTATACCCAGAAATAATCCTTGTTAATATTTAGAAGTATTTGTCAAAGGTTTAAAAATGTGTTTATGTGTTTGTGTGTATAATATTAATAACTACTATCATTTTAGAAAGTTCGAATATTATATCTACTGCTTGCTCTTTTAACAATATAATAGTGAGCATCTTCTAATTTCCTTAAACATTTTAAAAAATATGATTTCAAGGAAATCAAGTTATACGAACTGAGATATGGAAAAAATATTTAACTTTATTGAGTTTCTGTGTATGTATCCTAAATTCTTTTCTCCATGTATTAGTTCCTGGATATTTTTAAAGGTTTTAAAGAGTGTGTTTTAAGTAAATATGCTATCATTTAAGGTTCACACTCTCTATTAGAACTGTATTTTCTCCCTTCCAAAAAGCTCCCTTCCCACTCCTTTTCCCCCAGGATGACACCTGGGTGTGTCTCTTTTCTGCTGCTATAACAGAATACCTGAGATTGGATAATTTATAAAGAGGAGAAATTTAATTTCTCTCACAGTTCTGGAGGCTGCGAAGTCCAAGATCAGGGCTACGACAGGTTTGTGCCCGGTCTCTCTGCTTCTAAGGCAGCACCTTGAAGGCTGTGTTCTCCAGTGGGTAGAAATGTTGTGTTCTCACATGGCAGAAGAGGAAAAGAAACGTAGAGCCCATTCCCACACACCCTTTTCATAGCGGCATTATCCATCAGTGAGGATCCCACCTAAACTCCTCCCATTAGGCCCCACCTCCCAACACTGGCACTAGGGATTCAGTTTCCAACACATGAATTCTGGAGGACACCCTCAGACCTAGAAGAGTGCAAAGGAGAGCTTGGCTTATGCTGATAGCAGTGGAAGGCCTCTTCTCTGGGTGTGGCTCCCTGGATCCTCACCAGCCTCTACTGAGAAGCCCCTTGTGCCCAGTGCTTACCAGGCACCATGCAGTGCTGCCTGCTGTGCAATGGCTGATTCTGCCAAGACTTCATAGGCACATGGCAGCCCTGATGTATGTCCCTGGACCTTGCTATTTGCTCTGGTCTGTGACCTTCTTATCCTTCCCTACATCTCTTTCTGTTACCTGTTCACTCAGCCCTTTCGCAAGCAGCCCCTGGTTCTGCATCACACACACAAGCTGTGAATCCCTGGACGTAGTCTCAGGCCATCCACGTAGACATCTCCCTCCGGCAACACTACCCTGCCACTCCCAAGATGTGCGGACTACACCAAGGAAGTACAGACCACTCCTGGGTTCTTGGGTTCCCCAAGGCCTGCCACCATGGATCACGCCAATGACATCCCTGAGGTTTGTAACTCTGGGAGGGCAAGAGAGACACACTGCAATCTGAACCCCTGCTGCTCTCTGTAACAGCTCCCCTAAAAGCCTTTCTTCCTTCCTTCTGTCCTTCAGAAGGGGGAAGCTACCTGCCCCAGATTGCATGTGCCCTTACGTCTTGGCTTATAGTAAACGTACACATTCAGGCTGCCAAATTTTCTTCCTGACGTGTGAAGAATTCTTGGAAATTAGAGGCAAGGCTAGCTTTTAAGACTATTATTTTCCTATGGATGAAAAAAAAAATTCTAATTTGAAACTTAAAGCTGGACAATGTGCCTTTGTCCTCTTCCTTCCATGGTGCAGTAACTCAAAAAGATTACTTGGTTACATAATTTTTTTTTAATTAATGAACAGTATTTTACTATATAGTATATTGTAATTTATTTAACTACTATGCTATGACTGAACACGAATTATAATTTTCACAGTTTAAAAATAACACTATTGGCCGGGTACGGTGGCTCACACCTGTAATGCCAACACTTGGGGAGGCTGAGGCAGGTGGATCACCTGAGGTCAGGAATTTGAGACCAGCCTGGCCAACATGGTGAAGCCCCGTCTCTACTAAAAATACAAAAATTAGCCAGGCATGGTGACGGGCACCTGTAATCCCAGCTACTCGGGAGGCTGAGGCAGAAGAATCACTTGAACCTGGGAGGCAGAGGTTGCAGTGAGCTGAGACCACGCCATTGTACTCCAGCCTGGGCAACAAGAGCGAAACTCCATCTCTGAAAACGATAACAACAACAACAACAACAAAATGCTATTTATATATAAATCTAATATCTGATTATTTCCTAGGTACATATTTCTATACGTGTAATTATAGGAAGAAAGGAAAGAATATAAACATTTTCAAGGCTTCATCTACATACTGTTAATTAGTCTTGCAAAATTTACATACCAATTTACAATACAAACTGCAGTGCCTGAGAGAAGCTATTTCTCTATATACTTCCCACTCTGGCTACTCCATTATATTCTTTTTTTCTCCTCTTGTTTTTCTAAAAGTTGAGGTGAATTTCATATGTAACATAAAATTCAACATTTTAAAGCGAACAATTACTCAATGACATTTAGTCATTCACAATGTTGTGCTAGCATTCTTTTTAATCTTTGCCAATTTAATGGTTTAAAAAAGTTCTCTCTTTATATTCAATTTTGTTAACTACTAGGGATATTAAACATTTCGCATGCATTTGCAGATCAATGTTTTTTCTTCTCTTGTGAGCTACCTGAACTTTTTTTATATTTGGATGTTTTTTGCAGTGTTTTATATTTCAAATATTTAATATTATATTTATAATACATATATTTCAACTGTATTTTAACAATTTACCTTTTGCTTATAGTATTCCTTGGCATATAATGTTTTAAATACTTCAAGACGATCCTACACCTTCATATTTTATTTGACTTTCAGCTTATTAGGCCCTCACTAACTCTAAGACTTGGTGTCTGTATATTCTTCCAGCTCTTTAATAGTTTAATCCTTTAATCTGCATATGATTGGTTTTGTAGGAGGAAATGAATTTATTATTTTTCCAAATAACTATCAATGTTCTCAGCATTGTTCACCAAATAAATGCATATTTATCTATCTAGACTTTCTATTCTATTTCATTAACCTAACTGGCCAATATCTGTATTAAATTAGACTGCTAAAATCACTGTAGGATTTTTAATTCCTCATTCTAAATTTTTGTTGTTTCTTTTTAAAAAAATCCCTATGCTTTAGGCGGTAAATAACCAAAAGCTCAATTCCAAGAGGCTTAAACAATAGAGATTTGTTGGCATTGATAACCAAATTTCAGGGTTTCCCAAAACAATGGCCCTCAATACCACTGAATAACACATGTATTTTCATCTCCTATCTTCCAGCTCTGCCATCCACTGTGTCAAGCTCACCCTGCAGCTAGATCTCCTCATGGGCATAGAATGGCTGCCAGGAGCAGCCTGGATCATTGCATCCTCATTCACATCTGGCAGAAGAGTAAAAGCTACCAGCAAACCATTTTTTGTGTGTCATTAATCTGAATCCTGTCACCTGCCCATTCTCTTATCAATCACGACTAAGGAAAGGATTTAGATTATTTGCTTGGATTAATCAGGGGCACCCATAGACCTGGCATAGAATGGATGTTGGGGAGACAATCACAATTTTCATTATAATTAGAATTGCTTAAGGAGTTCAAGATCAGCCTGGCCAAGATGGTGAAACCCCGTCTCTACTAAAAATACAAAAAATAAGCCAGGCGTGGTGGTGGGCACCTGTAATCCCAGCTACTCGGGAGGCTGAGGCAGAGAACTGCTTGAACCCGGGAGGCAGAGGTTTCAGTGAACCGAGAAGGTGCCACTGCACTCCAGCCTGGGTGACAGAGTGAAACTCTTGTCTCCAAAAAAAAAAAAAAAAATTGCTTAAATGCATTAGTTAATTTGAAATGAATTGATATTGTTATAACATGGAGTCTTTTCTTCTAAAACATAGCACCCCTTCCCATTTATTCAAGTTTTCTGCTTTTCTAACATGTATTTCAGCAAGGGCTAGTAAATTGTCTTCCCATATATTCTGCACATAATCTATTTACCACATTCGTTTATTTAATTATATTTATCATATTTGTATTTATCACCTATGTTTATTTAATTCTAGATATTTTTATTTAGAGTTCTACCATGAATGGTATCTTATTTTCTGTTATATTTTCTACCTACTTGTATGATTTAGGATTTTTTTCTTTCTCTTTTTTTAGTTTAAACTAGCTTAAGCATGAAAACATTTACTGGTTTATATAACTGGAAGTCCTGGCCAGGATGCCCTTGGCTAAGCAAGAGGTCTGCTGCTTGGGGCTCACACTGTATAAGGTCCCCATGAACAAAAATATAAAAAAATTAACTTACTAAGGAATATGTGTAAGTGCCTCTGTCACTCCGAATGTGGCGCTTAGAACTGGCAAATGCAACCCACAATGCTAAATATCCATTCTCTTGCTAATACCACTCAGGTCCCTGAGAAATGTTTCTTTGTATGTCTGGCCCTGAGTTCTCAAAATAAAAAATTACTGTTTCTAAATGTTGTATTACCGTGGCCTTGGAGACAGACCCTGCTTCCAACTACTGGGAGGATCTAAGTAGGAATGCTTAGGTGAAAGAATTGACAAATTACCTTGTCAAATCCTTTCTCTTAGACTAAACGAATGCAAAAGATTCTTGCATAAGGAAGTATCTTTCTGGAAGTGTTGAGCATCTATCATCTTGCTTCTCTTTGGTTTCCAATTTGTGATTCTAGAGAAATAACTCGCATTACTCTTAAATGTGAACATCTGTACATGTAGCTATAACATGCTCCAAGTGTGATACCAATTCTTTACCTTGATAACTAGATGATCACTTAGCACTAAAATTAAGAATAATTTTATTTTCATGAAAATATAAGATTAAATTATAAGATTTTCAATAGATTAAAGTTTAAATGTTCAGATTAAATACATTCATAAATTATAATTGGTAGTTCATCTTACAATAGACAAGTTGAGATATCTTAGAAGATAAATGACATTTTTGAAAAATATAATTTAATATTTCACATTTTTGCAATTGCTATAATTTACTTTTATGAAAATATGTTCAAATTAGGCACATTTTAATACAATTACATTTTTAAAATATTTGAGGTCATTACTGTGAATAGAAAAAAATGAAGTTAATCTTTTTTTCTTTTTTTTTTTGAGACCGGGTCTCGCTCTGTCGCCCAGGCTGAAGTGCAGTGGTGCAATCACAGCTCACTGTAGCCTGAACATTCTGGGCTCAAGTGATCCTTCTGCCTCAGCCTCCTAAAGTGCTGAGATTACAGGCATAAGCCATGTGCCTGATATGAATATCTTGATTATAATAAACTTAATGATTTTGCTGAAATGAAAGCAAGGAAAATAAATTTTATAGAATAAATTACAACTCATTATCTTATTACTCATCTAAAAATGCTACCACATCATCAGAACACCCAGACATGTATAACAATTATTAAATTCAATCATTTTTTATATTTTGTTAACTTATAGTCATATGGAAACCATAGCTTTACAATTTTGATTTGTATGTTTGATTTATAAGTCATGAAAGGTTTAGTTATCAAGGCGGAGATATAGAACATACAGAACATATTTCCTTTAACAGCTTATTAACTTGACTTAAAACTCAAGATTTGGAAATAAGGATCGTGGGCCGTTTATGTTAAATGGTGGTGATGGCAAATATCTGTAAGTTGTTCCTAGCTTGAGTTATATTTGCCTTTAGCATTTCATCATTATCATGTTGATGTTGGTTTAACATAGATATCCTTTATCCTTTCCATATGAAGTATTTCCAGAGCTATGGGGCCAGGTCTCCCTGGTAAGTTTTGTGAAACCTGGATCTGCCCCAAGATGGGCACTGCCGCTATAGGCAAATAATAAGCCAAGAAAAAGAAAAAAAAACAACTTCCACTTGGTTAAACAAACTGTTCTAAATTCAAGGAGTCTCTGCCAGTTATGTGACTTTGCGTGACTGACTCTGCTTTACCCCTCCAGGCCCAAGAGACAAGGCTGTCCAGACACCAAACGGTGGTCACAGATTTTATCTTCTACCAGGAATGGTCACTCACACCTGTAATTCCAGGACTTTGGGAGGCCAAGGCAGGAGGACTGCTTGAGCCCAGGAGTTCAAGACCAGCCTGGGCAACAGACTCTACCTCTACAAAAAAAATAGAAAAAATAGCTGGGCGTGGTGACGCATGCCTGTAGTCCCAGCTAGCCAGAAGGCTAAGGTGAGAGAAGTGCTTGAGCCTGGAAGGTCAAGGCTTCAGTGAACCATGATTGTGCAACCGTATTCCCGCCCGGGCAACAGAGTGAGACTCTGTCAACAACAACAACAAAATTTATCTTCCCTGTAATCCCAGCACTTTGGGAGGCTGAGGCGGGTGGATCATGAGGGCAGGAGTTTGAGACCAGCCTGGCCAACATGACGAAACTCTGTCTCTACTAAAAATACAAAAATTAGACTGACGTGGTGGCGGGCGCCTGTAATCCCAGCTACTCGGGAGGCTGAGGCAGGAGAATCACTTGAAACCCGAAGGCTGAGGTTACAGTGAGCTGAGATTGTGCCACCATACTCCAGCCTGGGTGAAAAAGCAAAACTCCGTCTCAACCAAAAAAAAAAAAAAAAAAAAAAAAAATTATCTTCTATTTTTCTGTTTTCTTTGTTATTTTTAGTGGCAGAATGGTAGACGTTTGTACTGACACATAAATAAGTATATAGGGTTTTGTAAGAGAGGGTCCATCAGATTTTAAGATTTATGGCCTATGTTTTATGAACCTTTTTAAATGTTTATTTTATTTTACAACAAAAAAAAGTTTAACATAAAATGTGCATAGCAGTGGGGTAAAAATTCATTACTACTAGTCAGGAGAACCAGTGGACAGAAATGGCTTTGTGAGTCTCAGCCAAATAAGAACAATAATTAAACCCTGACCAGGCAGGGATACTGTTTATTCTATTCACCATCAGGTCACCAGAGACTGGCACATAGTAAGTGCTTAATAAATATTTGATGAATTAAATTGATTTGAAGATGTATAGAACAGTTTCTTAAAATTATATCATTGGAAATGGGTATTACAGAATTCAGATTATATGTAATTTTAGGAAAGTTAACAGGAAATTAATATTTATGTGGGGCCTGGCAGAAAGTCATGCTTACAATGCCAGGAGTTTTCTCTGGTTTAATTCTGCTACTACTATAAGTAGTAGGGATTATTATCATTATGTTCTTGTTATATTTTCAGCCTGTCATGGTGTTCAGCAAGGTTAAGAAACTTATACAAGGTGATAAAGCTGGACTTCAGTTCTAGTTTTCTCTCACTCCATTCAAACACACTACCTTCCATAACACATAAAATGAGGTTTGTATTATCCCTGACCATCCAGTCTAAAGTGTCCTGCCCCACTTACTGTCTTTCATCATCCTGTTTATTTCCTTCTAGGACTTGTCACAATTCACAATAATCTTGTTTATTTGTTAGTTATCCGACTCCCTTGAGAAATGTTAATGGTATGAGAGTGGGTAATTTTTCTAGATGTTCACAGCCATATCCTAGTGTTTTGAACATAGTAGTTTCTTGATAAATATGTTTTGAATACAATGAATGAACACACTGAAGTGCTTTTTGTAATACTAAAACAAGGTTAACCTAAGTAAAGAGATCTGCTATGGTCTGAATGTTTATGTCCCTCTAAAATTCCTATCTTGAAATCCAATGCCCAATGTGAGAGTATCTGGAGGTGGGTCCTTTAAAAGGTGATTAGGTTGTGAGGGCTGAGCCTTCATGAATGGGATGAATGTCTGTGATATTAACAAATATATATTTGGGCTGGGCGCAGTGGTTCACGCCTGAAATCTCAGAATTTTCGGAGGCTGAGGCAGGCGACTGCTTGAGCTCAGGAGTTCGAGACAGACCTGGGCAACATGGCAAAATCCCATCTCTACAAAAAAATACAAAAATTAGCCTGGCATGGTGGTGTGTGCCTGTGGTCCCAGCTACTCAGGAGGCTGAGGTGGGAGGATTGTTTGAGCCCAGGAGGTTGAAACTGCAGTGAGCCATGATCATGCCACCACACTTTAGCCTGGGCGACACAGCAAGACTCTGTCTCAAAAAGAAAGAAAACCAACAAATATATATTTGGTCTTTGATCACAGATTTCTGGCATAGAACTCCTAAAATCCTCAGAATCTCCGAAGTGATGTCTTTTCATATGCTAATGATTGACTGATGCCTGGCAACCCCCAGGTGGTAGCTTCAGGATGGAGGCTGGTCACTGGAAAGACCAAGGCATGATAACAGGTTTAAGATATTCAGCCCCACCCGCTAACCTCCAGGGAAAGGAGGGGGGCTAAAGGTTAAGCTGATCTCCAATGGCCAATGATTAATCAATCATGGCTACTGAATGAAGCCTCCATTAAAAAAAATTAAAAATAAAAATAGAAATAAATAAACAGGGTTTGGAGAACTTCCAGATAGCTAAGCACCTGGAGACTTCTGGAGGGTGGTACGCCCAGGACAGCATGGAAGCTGCATGCACTATGCATCTCTAAATCTGCATCCTTGGTAATATCCTTTATAATAAACTGGTAAATGTAAGTTTCCAAGTTCTATGAGCTACCCTAGAAAATTAATTGAATTCAAGGAGGGGTCATGGGAACCCCCACTTGAAGCCAGTCAGTTGGTCAGAAGTTCCAGAGGCCGAGACTTGCTACTGATTTCTAGGGCTTAAGAGGGAACCTTGGGGACTGAGCCCCCAATCTGTGGGATCTTGTCAGAGGCATTTCAACTAGAAAAATTCCATCTTGAATAGGAGCTGGGTAAAATAAGCCTCAAAACTACTGGGCTGCATTCCCCGACAGTTAAGACATTCTAAGTCACAGGATGAGACAGGAGGTCAGCACAAGATACAGGTCATAAAGACCTTGCTGATAAAACAGGCTGCAGTCAAGAAGCCAGCCAAAACCCACCAAAACCAAGATGGTGATGAGAGTGACCTCTGGTCATCCTCATTGCTGCACTCCCACCAGCACCATGACAGTTTACAAATGCCATGGCAACATCAGGAAGTTACCCTATATGGTCTAAAAAAGGGAGGCATGAATAATCCACCCCTTGTTTAGCATATAATCAAGAAATAACCATAAAAAGTGGGCAACCAGCAGCCCTTGGGGCTGCTCTATCTCTGAAGTAGCCATTCTTTCATTCCTTTACTTTCCTAATAAGCTTGCTTTCACTTTACTCCGCCGACTTGCCCTGAATTATTTCCAAGAACCCTCTCTTAGGGTCTGGATCAGGACCCCTTTCCGGTAACGATCTGATGCTATCTCCAAGTAGATAGTGTCAGAACTGAATTGGAGGATATCCAGTTGGTATCTGCTACAAAACTAATTGCTTGCTTGGTGGTGGGGAGATGCTCCTCCCCCACCCACCCACCCACCCCTCACACCACCTACATTTGGTCACAGGTCTGCACTGATTGTGGTTGAGTGAGATAAATTTAGAAAGCACTTTGAGTTTTTTCTCAAAAAACTTCATTTAATAAGCGCATTAAGGCATTCCCTTAATGTGCTTATTAAATAGACCCTAGAGAGCTCCCTCACCCTTTGCACCATGTGAGGACACAGCAAGAAGACAGCTGTCTATGAACCAAGAAGGAAGCCCCAACCAGACACTGAATCTGCTGGCACCTTGATCTTGGATATCCCAGCCTCCAGATCCATGAGAAGTAAATTTTTGTTGTTTACAAGTCACCCAGTCTATGGTATTTTGTTATAGTAGCGTGAATGGACTAAGACAAGATCTCACAAAGGGTCACTGAATAATGAACAGAACTCGCAGCTCAGAACTGAAAAGTTCATGGTTACTTTGTTCCAATCTTACTCTCTTTCCTTAAAACCCTACTCTTAGTGTTTTCAATTATGGTGCTATTTTTACTCAAGTTACATGGTGATCAAACTGTATTCTCTTACAAATCCTTCCCACTAAATGCTTTGTATTTTTCCTAGAATTACAAGTACACAAGGGATATAAAAGGGCCACCAAGCCTATTATCCAATATCCACACAAAGTCTGGCCCAGAAAACATAAAAGATGTTAAATTCAAGTAAAAGTACTGTTTACACCAGTTTGTTTAGCTGTTTTAATGAAGAGCCCTGAACTGGGGATCTTAATGTGGTGGGATTGGGGCATAGCCTTGCTTTCTTCTGTGGCAGCTACAGAGTATAGCCAGCCCAATCATCTTGAAAATACGTTTCTTTAGTCACTATAAACACTGCACAAAAGAAATCAGGTGGATCAGAACAAATCTCTTAGCACTACTGGATAAACAACTCAAGGTTCACGGTCCAGCCATAATATAACAGTCCTTTAAAAATGTGTTTATTGGAAGTTTTCAATGGCATAATAAATGCTTTGATGTATTGTGATAAAAATCAATATAAAAAGTGTATATATAACAATAGGGAATTAAAGAAATCCTTTTAAGTCTACATGATGAAATTATACATGGCCAATAAAAATCATGTTTTAGAAGAATCATTAAGAAGTAGAAGGCTCAAGACCAGCCTGGCCAACATGATGAAACCATGTCTCTAGCAAAAATATAAAAAATTAGCCGGATGTGATGGCAAGCACCTTTAATCCCAGCTACTCTGGAGGCTAAGGCAGGAGAATTGCTTGAATCTGGGAGGTAGAGTTTGCAGTGAGCCGAGATGGCGCCACTGCACTCTAGCCTGGGTAACAGGGCGAGACTCCATCTCAAAAAAAAAAAAAAAAATAAAGAAAGAAAGAAAAGAAACAGGAGGCCGGACACGGTGGCTCACACCTGTAATCCCAGCACTCTGGGAGGCCGAGTGGGGGCGAATCATCTGAGGTCAGGAGTTCGAGACCAGCCTGGCCAACATGGTAAAACCCTGTCTCTACTAAAAATACAAAAAATTATCTGGGCATGGTGGTGCGTGCCTGTAGTCCCAGCTACTTGGGAGGCTGAGACACAAACATCACTTGAACCTGGGAGGCACAGGTTGCAGTGAGCCGAGATCGTGCCACTACACTCCAGCCTGGGTGACAGAGTGAGACTCCGTTTCCAGAAAAAAAAAAAAAAAATAGTAGGTATCAGTCCTGGTCCTGCCAGGAAATAGATGGCATACTCAAACGGAGTGATTGAGAAGACTGACTAATTGCAAGGTGTGGGCAAGGATAAGAAACCAGGGAGCTGATGAAGCACCCCAGGGCTGGCAGCACTAGGGAGCTATTTCCATTCCTAGGCATGAAAGGGCCAGAGGAAGTAACTACCAGCAAAACACTAACACCTGTAGCTCTAGGAGAAGACCTCACACCATGAGCTGTGGATTTAGTAGAAGAATGATGCCTCTTCCAACACACAGCCTGGTGACGAGGGATATCCCAGTCTCTGTCCTCCCACCATCTGATCTCCTATCAGTGCCTTCCACTGGCAGCATTCAACTGGAAGGTAGAGGGCAAAGGAGCTCATTAATGTATCCCATCGTGGTCAGCCTCCCAGAACAGAGGTGGATGGAGGGCAGGAGAATGTGTCTGGAAAGGCAAATGGAGACTACCCAGCAAAATATTTAGTGAAAAACAAAGTATTATAATCCCAAATCTCTAAATCTGTATATGTCATAGGTCAGGTTCCCTAGCACAAAGATTCTGAGATTTGCATGCGGGTTTGTTGTGAAGTGCCCTTGGGAAGAGTGCCTGTGAAAGGAGAGGGAAGCTGGATTGACAGAGGGAGAGGTGAACTGTAATGCAGTTGCAACAGAGACCTTGGCCACTTCTACATCGAGCTCTAGAGCTAGGATGGCCCTTCAGAGTTGTCCAAACTGAATAAAGCAAGAAGACTAGACTTTGGTACCCTCTCAACAACAGATTCTTGGATGCAGGCTGCCCCCCTGAGGCCAAGGTCAATTCCTGGATAGAACCATTAGCAGCTAACACTCCAGGCACTGAGCAACTAAGCATGTCATCGTGAAGGTAGAGGTGGGGATGAGGCTGAGGGAAGCATGCTACAACATCCACTAAGATGTCAGTTAACACATGACTGACTCTGGGTGATAGAATTACACATAAGATTTTTCCTGCCTTAACAAAACTAATTTTCTGTTGTTCCAAGTGTTCTAAAACAAGTATTATATTAGAATACAGAGCAATTCAGGTGTTACAACAGACTTAAATAGTGTATTCCTCTGTCCTACAAAAGTTCAGACAGCAGTCCACAGCTGGTATGACAGCTCAACAACCATCAGAGACACTTGGTCGTTCTATTTGGTTGCTCTGCCACCTTCAATGTATGGCTTCCATCTCACAGTTCAAGATGGCTGCTCCAATTCCTGTCTTCACATTCTGGCAAGAAAGGGGAAAGAAAATAGTGGAGGGCACACCCTTTCCCTTTAAGGGCATAACCGAGACAATGCATGCATTATTTTCATTCACATCTCATTGGTGGCCATACAAGCTTCAAACAGGCTAAGAAATACGGTCCTTATGCTAGGGGGATGTCTTAGTCAGTTTGGGCTACTAAACAAAATACCTTAGACTGGGTACTTTATATAAACAACAGAAACATATTGCTCACAATTCTGGGTGCCAGGAATTCCAAGATTGAGGCACCAATAGATTCAGTGCCTGATAAGGGCCTGTTCCTCATGGATGGTGCCTTCAATGTATCCTCACATGGTAAAGGGGGTGTGAGAGCTCTCCAAGGCCTATTATAAGGGTGCTAACCCCATTTGTGAGAGCTCTGCCCTTATGATCTGATCATCTACCAAAAGGCCCCACTCCCTAATACCATCACACTGGGGAACGGATTTCAACATATGATTTTGGAGGGATACAAACATTCAGACCATAGTAGGGACCATGTGTACAGCGCAAGTTCAGGGTTTCTATTACTAAAGAAAAAAGGGGACAGATGCATGCTGGGAAATAACTGGCAGTTTCTACCACAGTATGTATTAGTTTGATAATCAGTAAATTTACAGTAAAAAAGCAAAAACAGGCCAGGCACGGTGGCTCATGCCTGTAATCCCAGCACTTTGGGAGATCACAATTAAAAGAACTAGAGAAGCAAGAGCTAACAAATTCAAAAACTAGGAGAAGGCAAGAAATAACTAAGATCAGAGCAGAACTGAAGGAGATAGAGATACAAAAAATGCTTCAAAAAAATCAATGAATCCAGGAGCTTGTTTTTTGAAAAGATCAACAAAATTGATAGACCGCTAGCAAGACTAATAAAGAAGGAAAGAGAGAAGAATCAAATAGACGCAATAACAAATGATAAAGGGGATATCACCACCGATCCCACAGAAATACAAACTACCATCAGAGAATACTAAAAACACCTCTATGCAAATAAACTAGAAAATATAGAAGAAATGGATAAATTCCTCGACACATACACCCTCCCAAGACTAAACCAGGAAGATGTTGAATCTCTGAAAAGACCAGTAACAGGCTCTGAAATTGAAGCAATAATTCATAGCCTACCAACCAAAAAAAACTCCAGGACCAGACGGATTCACAGCCAAATTCTACCAGAGGTACAAAGAAGAGCTGGTACCATTCCTTCTGAAACTATTCTAATCAATAGAAAAAGAGGGAATCCTCCCTAACTCATTTCATGAGGCCAGCATCATCCTGATACCAAAGCCTGGCAGAGACACAACAAAAAAAGAGAATTTTAGACCAATATCCTTGATGAACACCGATGTGAAAATCCTCAATAAAATACTGGCAAAGAGAATCCAGCAGCACATCAAAAATCTTATCCACCACGATCAAGTAGGCTTCATCCCTGGGATGCAAGGCTGGCTGGTTCAACATACACAAATCAATAAATGTAATCCATCACATAAACAGAACCAAAGACAAAAACCACATGATTATCTCAATAGATGCAGAAAAGGCCTTTGACAAAATTCAACAGCCCTTCATGCTAAAAACTCTCAATAAACTAGGTATTGATGGAAAATATCTCAAAATAATAAGAGCTATTTGTAACAAACCCACAGCCAATATCATACTGAATGGGCAAAAACTGGAAGCATTCCCTTTGAAAACCAGCACAAGACAAGGATGCCCTCTCTCACCACTCCTATTCAACATAGGGTCGGAAGTTCTGGCCAGGGCAATCAGGCAAGAAAAAGAAATAAAGGGTATCCAATTAGGAAAAGAGGAAGTCAAATTGTCCCTATTTGCAGATGACATGATTATATATTTAGAAAACCCCATCGTCTCAGCCCAAAATCTCCTTAAGCTGATAAGCAACTTCAGCAAAGTCTCAGGATACAAAATCAATGTGCAAAAATCACAAGCATTCCTCTACACCAATAACAAACAGTCAAATCATGAGTGAACTCCCATTCACAATTGCTTCAAAGAGAATAAAATACCTAGGAATCCAACTTACAAGGGATGTGAAGGACCTCTTCAAGGAGAACTACAAATCACTGCTCAACAAAATAAAAGAGGACACAAACAAATGGAAGAACATTCCATGCTCATGGATAGGAAGAATCAATATTGTGAAAATAGCCATACTGCCCAAGGTAATTTATAGATTCAATGCCATCTCCATCAAGCTACCAATGACTTTCTTCACAGCATTGGAAAAAACTACTTTAAAGTTCATATGGAACCAAAAAAGAGTCCGCATTGCCAAGACAATCCTAAGCCAAAAGAACAAAGCTGGAGGCATCACACTACCTGACTTCAAACTACACTACAAGGCTGCAGTAACCAAAACAGCATGGTACTGGTACCAAAACAGAGATATATACCAATGGAACAGAACAGAGGCCTCAGAAATAACACCTACAACCATCTGATCTTTGACAAACCTGACAGAAACAAGCAATGGGGAAAGGATTCTCTATTTAATAAATGGTGCTGGAAAAACTGGCTAGCCATATGTAGAAAGCTGAAACTGGATCCCTTCCTTACACCTTATACAAAAATTAATTCAAGATGGACTAAAGACTTAAATGTTAGACCTAAAACCATAAAACCCTAGAAAAAAACCTAGACAATACCATTCAGGACATAGGCATGGGCAAGGACTTCATGACTAAAACACCAAAAGCAATGGCAACAAAAGCCGAAATAGACAAATGGGATCTAATTAAACTAAAGAGCTGCACATCAAAAGAAACTACCATCAGAGTGAAAAGGCAACCTACAGAACGGGAGAAAATTTTTGCAATCTACCCATCTGACAAAGGGCTAATATCCAGAATCTACAAAGAACTCAAACAAATTTACAAGAAAAAAACAACCCCATCAAAAAGTGGGCAAAGGATATAAACAGACACTTCTCAAAAGAAGACATTTATGCAGCCAACAGACACATGAAAAAATGCTCATCATCACTGGTCATCAGAGAAATGCAAATCAAAACCACAATGAGATACCATCTCACACCAGTTAGAATGGCGATCATTAAGAAGTCAGGAAACAACAGATGCTGGAGAGGATGTGGAGAAATAGGAATGCTTTTACACGTTGGTGGGAGTGTAAATTAGTTCAACCATTGTGGAAGACAGTGTGGCAATTCCTCAAGGACCTGGAAGTAGAAATACCATTTGACATAACGATCCCATTACTGGGTATATAACCAAAGGATTATAAAACATGCTGCTATAAAGACACATGCACACATATGTTTATTGCGGCACTATTCACAATAGCAAAGACTTAGAACCAACCCAAATGTCCATCAATGATAGAGTGGATTAAGAAAATGTGGCACATATACACCATGGAATACTATGCAGCCATAAGAAAGGATGAGTTCATGTTCTCTGCGGGGACATGGATGAAGCTGGGAAACATTATTCTCAGCAAACTATCACAGGAACAGAAAACCAAACACCACATGTTCTCACTCATAGGTGGGAATGGAACAGTAAGAACACATGGACACAGGGCAGGGAACATCACACACAGGGGCCTGTCAGTGGGTGGTGGGCAGCTAACCAACATGGCACATGTATACATATGTAACAAACCTGCACATTGTGCTCATGTACCCTAGAACTTAAAGTATAATAATAAATAAATAAAAGAAAAAAGAGATTAGTAGAGTTCAATTTATTCTACTCATCCACATACTGCTCCCTCTCCAGGTGTGGAAGCTAAATTTGTCTTCACACCCTTCACTGCCATGGGTTACACACATTGTTGTGAAAAATTGGTCAACATGATTGACATTTCATCAGTTTTGATGATTTGGAGAAAAGAAGGAAATTCAACCAAGGCCAACACTTCAGTTGGTACAAATGTGTTCATAAACAAAGCACATGATCATATGAAACATCTTCAATTTTAAAAGCTTTGCCTTAAGTAATGACTTTTGTCTCTTTGCAAGCAAATATATATACATGTGTATATTTATATACATATTTTTTTAATGACCATGGTTAGAAGGAATATAATTTTTATTTTTCTAGAGACAGGGTCTCGCTCTGTTACCCAGGTTGAAGTGCAGTGGCACAATTATAGCTCACTGCAGCCTCAAACTCCTGGGTTCAAGGGATCCTTCCTGCCTCAGCCTCCTGAGTAGCTGAGACTACAGACACATCCCACCATCCTTGGCTAATTGTATTTTTTATTTTTGTAGAGATGGGGTATCCCTATGTTGACTAGGCTGATCTTGCACTGCTAGGCTCAAGAGATCCTCCTCCCTCAACCTCCTAAAGTGGTAGGATTACAGGTGTGAACCGCCACACCCAACCCAAGAATATCAATTTTTAAAACCAACATTCCAATTAGTACAGGGAAAGAAAACGGCACCTTTTTAAAGAAAAGCAAGCCCCTTAAAGAGGAGAAAGAACTGTAATTAGAAATGTATTAAGAACTAAAAAGCCGTTTTTAACTTGTTTCCTAAGACACCGAAAAATAGAACTGACAAGTACAACTTCCAAAGAAGCTTAGATTTACTTACTCTATTATTAAAATTTCCAGTTCAAAATTTTTAGAATTACTAATGAAAGGGGTGAAAAAAGCTCTTACAGGAAAAAAAAACTAAGATCCTCAAGTTAAATTTGTAATGCTTCTACTGGTGAAAATTGACCTTCATGAGCAAAGAAAACAACAGAGTTGCTCTCAAACAGGTTAATAATGTATTTAGCAACCAACGCCACATTGTGATTCTTATACAACCACAAACGACACAAGATAGTGTCCTAAATTTGTGGACATAACTTTTTGGCATAACACAGCTTTTTGGCAGATAAATTTGCTTAATAGAGAAGATATGCATTTGGCCATCAGGAACTAGGGCTCTTAGTGGATGGGTAACAGCTCGCCCCCCGATAACATTCCCATATTCCATTCGCTATCTTCAGTATGGGGAGGAAAGCTGTGGACTGTATTTCTTTATGTTTGAAGCCCTTCTGAGTAGTTTTATGAGATTAAAAGGGTCGTATTTGGGGCTGGACAGCAGACACGAAGGAAGGCCAGCGTGAACCTTTGGGAATGTGCACTCCGGCTTGCGCACTCCAGCCTGTCCCCTGCTGATCACATATGGGGAGGGGGATGTACAAGGTTAACCTTGAGAGGAGCTCTGGCTCAGAGATCCCGGCCCAGGATCTGTCACATACACACAGAAGGCAGCCCAAAGAGTATGAAATGCCGAGCCCTCCCGATAGTCTTGATAGCCTCCCAGTACAACCAGCCACTCCAGTAAATAAACAAAGTGAGCCCTGGCATTTCCCTGTGATTGACTTGGATGGCGCTGCACCTCACAGGGGCAGTGAGGAGGTGATTGTGTCAGGCAGTGGAGAATTACTGAGACCTGCAGATGGATGCTAACAGACCCTCCTCCCACCTTTGACTGTGTAACTACTTCATTACAGGAGTTCCAGGCCTTCAGATAAGGTCAAGAGACCAAAAGTATAAAGCATATCCTCCTTCCTTTTGCCTATCCAAATCTTAACCTTTCCTTTTAAAAATCCCTGTTCTTTACGAAGTCATATTACAATCCCAAAGTCATATTACAATCCCTGCCCACAAGATTTTCCCATCTAGCTGGAGATGTGAATATACTTCCAACCGCCTAAGAGACTGTGTCTATTCTGTGATTTTAAAAAAAAAAAAAAACTGTTTTAAGAAAAATTTCTGCAACAGGATTTGGAGGTAAAGTTTTTCTATCACCTGGTATTGGCAACCAAGTATCACCAAGTGTCACAAAACGCTAAAAGAAGAAATGAACTGGCCAGGCGTGGTGGCTCATGCCTGTAATCCCAGCACTTTGGGAGGCGGAGGCAGGCAGACTGCTTGAGGCTGTGAGTTCGAGACCAGGCTGGCCAACATGGTGAAACCCCGTCTCTACTAATAATACAAAAATGAGCCAGGCATGGTGACACACACCTGTAATCCCAGCTACTCGGGAGGCTGAGGCAGGAGAACCACTTCAACTCAAGAGGTGGAGGTTGCAGTGAGCCAAGATCGCGCCACTGCACACCAGCCTGGGCAACAGAGTGAGAGTCTGTCTCAAAATAAAAAGAAGAAATGAACAACTGGAGCCAGATTCCTCCTTGAGGGCACCTTAGGACACAACTTACATAGTTCTAAAAATATAAAAACTGACTGCTGATGCATTAACCAAAAGTCATATAAAAGCATAATGAGGAAATGAGGGAAGGAAAGACTAGTTTAAGAGTCACATCTTCATCTATCATAATAGGACATCAATAGATTTGTCTATCACGGTAAAAAGTCACCAGATAATATCTAAAGTTAATGATTTAAGAGATACCAGTTAATCTGAAATTAGGAGGAATACTCAAAAAAATCGCTAAAACTATTGTTGAGGAGTGGGATGGGATGGGTTGAAGAGGCAGTAGTTGCTGGTTTTTAAATATTTTTAGCACTGTTTGACTCTTAGCATCCAGGTATTATTTCATTAATTATTAGAATTATTGAAAAATAAAATTAACTTATAGAAATAGAAGGCAATATTTTTCTCGATGGAAAAAAAACCGTAAGTTTCATGGGCCTTTCCTGTGCACTGTTTGTCAAAAATGTTGTCTAGAGTACATGGATATGGCTGGTAGGTAGTAGCTAGACTTACATCAAATTCCTAGAGGTTGGCCAGGTGAAGTGGATCATGCCTGTAATCTCAGCACTTTGGGAACCCAAGGCAGGAGGGTTGCATGAGGCCATCATGGCCAACATAGCAAGACCTATTCTCTCTTAAAAAAAAAAATTCTAGAGGCTGAGGATTGTTTATCACATTTTTTGATGTAGGATCCAAACGAAGGTGAGCATGTGTGTATTTATTTCAGTAATGTCCATAAATTTGAAACTGAAGTCAAAGGGGGATAGGGGAGGCTCTCATGGGTGTGCTCCAAGCATCAAAGAAACAGATCAAAATCAGACAGACCTAACAAAGAGGAACAACACACCAGGACCCAAGAACGCAAGCATGCAACTCCAATGGCACCACACATGCTAATTAGCCCTGGAAGATTCACTGCTGAAACTATCTACTGGAGTCATCAGAAAAAGGCCAACCTCTGCTAAATAGCTTCCATTCTGTGGGGAAAAAGGTAAGCGATAAGTCTAACATACTTTAGAAAGAATAGCGTTCAAAATTATTTAGGTAGAAAAATTCTTCTGTAACACTCCTGATTGGTTCTTTGGACAGGAAAACCAAGCTTTACAAATCCCAACAGGTTTAAAGGAAAATGACGCCAAAAATAAAGCTTTGGCTCATCTTACCAGTGTTTCACCTCAGTTGTCTATTTTATAGGCCATTTAAGTGAAAGCATGCACTAAAAATTTTGACTTTGTCATCCTCAGCTATCCAGAAAATGGCAATGCTTAAAATTCTATTTCTAATACAATTACAATTAATGTGTTATCTATAATACACCCTCTACAGTCTTCCTGTTTTATCATCCATTTTACATTTTCCCAAGAGATACTGTATGTTCATTTTCACTGCTCTTTCTCTTTTTAAAATTCATTGGGTTTCTTTAATTCAATGATTACTATATCTATTTTAAAATAACTCAGCTGATATATAACAATAATGGCTCTACTACACCTGTCTAAATATTATCCCCGTAATGTATCTGAAATTATATTAGTAACACTTCTCTTGGTAATATCCAATTACTTTTTATGGTTTCTAACTCACGGTTCATGTGGCTTTTTTCCTTTATTGGACATTTGGATGTAGCAGATTATTTTATTATTTTATTTTATTCTATTCTATTTTATTTTGTTTGGTTTTGAGACGGAGTCTGCTTCTGTGGCCCAGGCTGGAGTGCAATGTCGTGATCTCTGCTCACTGCAACCTCTGCTTCCCGGTTTCAGTGATTCTCCTCCCTCAGCCTCCCAAGTAGCTGGGATTACAGGCATGTACCACCACGCCTGGGTGATTTTTTTATTTTTTTAGTAGAGACGTGGTTTCACCATGTTGGCCAGGCTGGTCTTGAACTCCTGACCTCAAGTGATCTGCTCACCTCAACCTACCAAAGTGCTGGGATTACAGGTGTGAGCCACTGTGCCTGGCCTGGACACAGCAGATTTGACACAGTGGTTTTGTCTGAAGACAATGGAAAAAGTGAATATTTTGACAAAACAGTTTTGAGAAATGTACATCAAAATATAGAAGCAATTTTTATAAAAAATGACAGTAATAATTGGGATGGAGAAATGGGATGGAATGAGGCTCTGGGGTGGCACTGGGCCCAAGAACAGGATGAAGACTTCTGTCTTTCATATTATGTGGTAATTTTTTAAAACTGGCTTATTATTTAGAACTTATCAAAATATTCCAAACTCAAAACAATTCCATCACAGACTGATAAACAATTAGCCATTCTCTCTGAACCTCTTTAGATATCTCCTACACAACTCTCTTCCCTCTGAATTATTGTTTATAAAAGCCCAAAGTATTTAAATAAAATTATGGATATCATAACATTTCACCCAAATACTTCAGTATACAGCTATAAAAAATAAAGACACTTTCCTACATAACCATGATGATATCACACATAACAAATATAATACTAATTCCTTAACGTTCTTTCATACCCAGGCCATATTCAAATGCCTCAGTAGTTCCTCCCCCAAATGTCTCTTACAGCAAATTTATCCAAATCAGAAAAAAAAATCTGTATCTATATAACATTTGTGATACAAATATAGAAAAATACTACAACTGTGAAATCTAAATGTGGGTATTACGCTATTCTCTGTCTTTTCTCTGGATTTGAGATTTTTTGTAATACAGTGTCCAAAAGATTGCCACCATTATATCTTTTCAGATATGATTATAAATGTATCAGAGGAGAGTGTTGTCTAGACTGTGCTACTGGGCCCTGTGCTGTTCAAAGCTGTCCTCAATTATTTGGACAATGATATAGAAATGATCCTTATCAAATTTCTCAGTTGATGAGCTAGGAGAAACAATGAACATGTTAGATAACTGAATCAAGATCCAAAAACACTTTGACAAACTAAATATAGCAGACTGCTGAGGAAATGAGTGGTGATACACTGGGTGCTTTTTTTGTTCAGTAAGAGCTGGAGGCAAAAGGTCACAGGTCGATAGATGCCGTCATGAGGAAGGGTCCTATGGATTACCAGTAGCTTTGGTGATGGCCAGATCAAATGGAATTGCCTGAAGCATTAAAAAAAAAAAAAAGTTACAGCTTTTTCAGAATTTGTCCAGCAGGTTTTCTGGTTTTCACTGGAAAATACCTCACACAAAAAAAGAAAAATTAAAATAAATTTTAAGAGTCCTTTATCAAGAGGGCCTGCCTGCTGCCCTCCTGGCTTGTGAGCTGCATCTGTTAGCCTTGTGAGATGAGCATTGCCAGCGAACTGGGGTGGCAAATGTGAGACTAAGAAATGGAGGTGGGGGGCTTGGAAGGTGGGGATACAAAAGCCAAATTGCTATAGAATCTTGAAGTAAGTTTCCATCATTATGAGAAATCTTCAAGGTGAGTAGCAAGGTAGCCTAACCATCTTGGCATCGAACTCAAGCACTTGACTGGGTCCAAATTCAGAGATTATCTTATCCTGTGCTTGGCATATTTCACAAGGACAGATGTGTCAGCCAAACTGGAGATGTGGACATGATAATGAGCAATTTTTTTAAAGTCACAGTATCTGAATGTAGGTCGCCTTGGCATTGACAGGGCAAACAGGAGGATCTCAGTTTGTACAAAAGTTAAAATCCTTTATTCAGTCTCAAGAGTTTTCTGGATCAAATCCTCCATGTCTTACTTCATTCTGTATACACATTCTTCTGTGTCTACCCATCCATCTTTCCTCAAGTCCTTGAGGGCAGAGACTGTATTACTCATCTTTGTATCCACAGTTCCCAACACTCTGCCTGACATATAGCAGATACTTTATAATATTTGTGGAATGAATAAATGCTTGCCCAGAGGACACAGGTAATAATCAAATGCATCACCTCATGCTGTATCAAAGACTACATGGCCCTCTGGGTGCTCTCTGACAACACCATGGTCAAGTGGAGCGCACACACTTTGGTTTCCTTGACTGACTAACCAGGCAGTAATTGAGGCTGCACCTAGATAAGAGCATTAAGAATGAGGCACCACTAAGCCAATGGACCAGGGTCTGATATTGCTGGATGGTTGTTTAAACTGAATGTAAAACTTCAAACTTTTAGAATGCAGTGTCACATGTGTGTGTTTTGGTGGATTAAGGCAGTATGTTTTCTGCAACAAGTCAGGCTGAATAGCTCTGATTCAATATGCTTACATGGGTTTCTAGGACTTTTAGAGAGATAACCCTCTGTAAAATGGCCGGTAATCATTGATTTAAAATAGATATATATAAACTCCTTAGATTTCCGCCAGAAGATTCCTTCATCCAGAGTCCAAGATGCACTGACTTTCCCTTGGGGCAGGGGTAGGGAAGAAACTAACAGGAAGACTGGTTTGCTCTCCTGGCACCCAGTCTCCTCTCCAGTCTAAGGCACCAATGATCAGGTCAGATCAGCTCTGTGAACCATCTTAACATGGATGGGGCATCATATAGTATTGCCTTCAAGTGTACTTTCCTTTGCCTCAAGTCTTAGAAGACTTTGGTTGTCTCTAATGTGTGTGTGTGTGTGTGTGTGTGTGTGTGTGTGTGTGAGAGAGAGAGAGAGAGAGAGTGAAAGAGAGAGAGACAGAGAGAGACAGACACACACACAGAGAAAGAGAGAGACAGACAGACAGACAGACCAGATGACCTCTCAGGTCCCTTCTAGATCTAAAATTTTAAGACAATTGTTCTGAAAGTACTAACTAACAATGAATGGCCAGCTTTGGAATTTGTGACTAGCAGTATTCAAAACATATTCATGATTGCAGGAAATAAGGCAGAGGACCCTAAAAGGAGATACAAAACCAAAAAGGTAAATGTGAGTGAAATAATATATCAACTTCAAATCGTTAGCAAGGTAATGCCACTGAAATCAACTAGTCTATACAGTGTCTCCAAGATGGTTAGTTAGAAAATAAGGCTGTTTCACTACTTGCAATAGCAAAGACATGGAACCAACCCAAATGCCCATCAATAAGAGACTGGATAAAAAAAAATATAGCACATATACACCATTGAATACTATACAGCCATAAAAAGGAATGAGTTCATGTCCTTTGCAGGGACATGGATGAAGCTGGAAGCCATCATTCTCAGCAAACTAACACAGGAACAGAAAACTAAACATCCCAAGTTCTCACTCATAAGCGGGAGCTGAACAATGAGAACACATGACACAGGGAGGGGAACATCACACACCCAGGCCTGTCACGGGGGTGAGGGGCAAGAGGAGGGAGAGCATTAGGACAAATACCTAATGGCTGTGGGGCTTAAAAACTAGATGATAAGTTGATAGGTGCAGCAAACCACCATGGCACATGTATACCTATCTAAGAAACCTGCACGTTCTGCACATGTATCCCAGAACTAAAAACAAAAACATAACAAAACAAAAAAACGCTGTTTGCCACAAGAGGCACCTCAAAAGGACAAATGTGGTCCCAAACACCCCTGGTTTCCATTCATATGAATTAATTTTTCTTAACTTCTCATTAATCTGTTTATATTTTCAGTTTATATTGTCCCTTTGCCAGTTCTCTTCCTTACTGTATTTCCTGCAGTCTTCTCTCTTCCCTATGTACCCAGTGCCGGTGCCTACCAACAAGTGTTTCAGCCTCCAGTCTGTCATTTGAATTCATCCTGAATATTCCATTAATGACTCCTCCTAAATCATCATTATGATTGGGTCACCCTGCCCCCAGCTGAAAGCATTCTTCAATGATTCCTTGGTGCACAAGGGACTAAGTCAAAACTCAAAAGCCTGGCAGTTAAATCCTCACCTATCTGGCTCCTAGACAAGAAGTTAAGATTCATGTCATCTGAACTTCTCCCCAGTTCCTGTGTGCATCCATGATTCACTCCTAGAAGCTTCACCCTGACCCATGCCATCTCTCTTCCATGGAGCATTCCCCCACCTTCCCTCTCCTCTGAATGTCTAAGTTCTATACATGCTCCAAAGCCCTAATCAGATCCCTCTTTCAGCCTTACCAGCCATTAGCTATCCTTTGGTCTTCCGAAATTCTACCACGCTTCTTTACCATTTGACAGAATACTCCCTATTTTGGTAATTAACTTTCACAGGCATAAGTTTTATTGCCTCAGCTAGACTGTTATCTCCTCAAGGTCAAGGACTTTATCCTTTTTAAAAAAATTTCCTAAAGTGCCTAGCACAATGCTCCCCACGGCAGATGCTCAGTAAATAATAAGTGAATGATAACTTTTTTTTTTTGAGACAGAGTTTTGCTCTTGGTGGCCAGGCTGGAGTGCAATGGTGCAATCTCGGCCCACTGCGACCTCTGTCTCCTGGGTTCAAGCGATTCTCCTGCCTCAGCCTCCCTAGTAGCTGACATTACAGGCATCCACCAACACACCTGGCTAATTTTTTGTATTTTTAGTAGTGGCGGGGTTTCACCACATTGGCCAGGCTGGTCTCAAACTCCTGCCCTTGGGTGAGCCACCCCCCTAGGCCTCCCAAAGTGCTGGGATTACGGGCGTGAGCCACCGCCCCCAGCCGATAACAAACATTTATGAACCACTTCTTTTTGTCTGAAATTATTTTGTCTGAAAACTTCTTCAAACTTCAGGACTTTCTCTCTGACTTCATAATGCTATGAATGAGTCTCAGTTTTTTAAATAATGTAATTTTCAAGGGTGTCCACTGCTGATTATAACAGAGGGTCTCAGAGACAGATCCTGGCAAACAATACCCTCTTGTAGCATTTAATATGATTGAGTCACTTACAATTAGACAAGAAAGCATTACATTCTATAAATTGTCTCTTCCCACTGTGATTGAAAAGGAAAAACTGACTTTAGGTATACTAAATCAAAAGCATATACACATAAATCACAGATAACTCACATGCAGGCATGGTTATGGCCTTACTATGTGCTATTTGGCCTCACCACTCAAAATGTGATCCGGGGACAAGCAAAATCCATACTGTTTGGGAGTTTGTTAGAGGCAGAATATCAGGCTCCACCTCAAACTTACTGAATGAAAATTATTCCTTTTAACAAAAGCCCTGGGTGATTTGAAAAGCACTGGACAAATCCAAAACGAGCAAAAGTGACTGTACAGAGTAATTTTTCTTTTTCTTTTCTGAGACAGGGTCTCACTCTGGCTCCAGACTGGGGTGCGGTGATCACGATTCACCGCAGCCTTGACTTCTCAGGCTCAAGCAATCCTCCCACCTTAGTCTCCTAAGCAGCTGGGACCACAGGTGTGCATCACAACGCCCGGCTAACTTTCTGATTTTTTGTTGTTGTTGTTTTTGTTGTTGTTGAGATGGGCATCTCCCTATGTTGCCCAGGCTGGTCTCCAACTCCTGGGCTCAAACAATCTTCCCCCTCTGGCCTCCAAAAGTGCTGGGATTATGGGGGTGAGCCACCATGCCTGGCCTGTACAGGAGGAAATTTTTTTATGTAGGTTCCGGTGAGTACAGGATTTTTATCCTTTCAAAACAGCCTTTCAAAACAGATTGTTGGGCCCCATCCCCAGGGTTTCTGATTCAGTACGTCTAGGGTGGGAGCCGAGAATCTGCATTTCTAACAAACTTCCAGGTGATATCCATGGTGCTGCTGCTGGCCTAGGAACCACACCACAGGCTTATACCATTAAAAACAACAGGCCTCATATTTTGGGAATTTTGCTCCAAGTGCACTTCCAATAGAAGAGAGAATACTGAGCTAGTAAAACGGAAAAGAAAAAGAAGCAGCAGCAAAATGTTTCATTTATGTTACAAGAAGGTAGCTGTTAACACTCCTTTGTACACAGTGGGGTAAAAATAGCTGAAGGAATTACTATAGCAACAGCTATAATATCCTCAGAGACTTTCTCTCCTGGCATTATTCATAAAGGGAGGTCCATCTTACACAAATTCTATTACAACTTTGAGACCTATTACAAACAATAAACATGGGAAACTTATCCCATTCGTTAAATACTGTGAGATAAAATACAACTTTAAGATGCATTTGAGAAATGACTCTCTGAGGCCTGAATTTGGATTTGGTCCAGCAATTGAACAATAACAAAAAAAAGTAAGAATCTATATGGTTGTGAAACAACAAGAAAAGGAGAGCTGAGAAATGTTGAGAATACTTATTATAAAATTTTTAATGTTTTTAAAAAAATCCCAAAATAGCTGCTTCTTTTAAAACAAAGACTTACCAAATTATAAATAAAAGAATATATAAAAACCAAAGAGCTCCATCTAGAGTTTGAAAAAAGGGTTATTACTTATACACACAAATAACAAAGCACTCTCTACCCTATTGTATCTATATTCTTTTCATTATTGTTAAAAATACGTATTCTTACAAAATATTTACAAAAAGGATAACTTTTTAAAGTGTGTAATACTGTTCATGTAAAAGAGAACTGACTTTTTCATAATGTCTGTAACCTATTTTTCTTCTAAAAATTTGGCAGTTGTATTTGTCACCGTGAATGATTATCTTCAGGCAAATCATTAAAAAGTTAGGATAGAACATGTATACCTACTATGTAGCCACAAAAGTTTTTAATATAATTTAAAAATTAAAAAGTTGGGATAGTGTTTAAGGCATTCATGGAGATGACAGCTTATGAAATTGATTCAAGGACCCAGTTCTTACCTGAGCTTGCTATACGCCCTTGAGTAACTCCTCTTTGAATCCTGAGTTTTCCCATCAATAGGGGTTAGATAAGACCAATGGTACTCAGACCTGGCTGCTCATTGGAAACACTTGAGATCATTGGAAATAATTTGATGCACGGGTCCCAGCCCCCAAGATCATGATTTAGTTGTTCTGCTGTGTGGAGTAGGAGGTGTGGGCAATTTAGTTGCCATGTAAAAGCTCCCCAGGTGATTCTGATATGCAGATTGGCTGTATCAGATTGGGTGATCTCCAAGCTGTCTTTCACCCTTAAGCATCCATTGCTCTAGTTTAGTGGCTCTGAAGCTTTCATGTGGATCACAGTCACCTGGAGGGCTTATGAACTCACACTGCTGGAACTTACCCTGGGCTCCGGATTCAGTAGGCTCAATGTGGACCCCAAGAATTTACGTTTCTAACAAGGTGCCAGGTAATGCTGATGCTACTGATCCAAGGTCCTACTTTGAGATCATTGTTCTAGGTTATTTTAAAATTATATTTTCCAATCTTCCAAATTATTCTTACTCTCTTTGATGAAACCACAGTATGATATGGTTAATTAATCTCCTTGATTCCAATCTCCCTTCTTCCAGTTCTTAGCCCATATTTTCAACACAGTAATCTAACCCACAAATACTATTGTGTCACTCCCTGGCCTGAAACTTTTCAACGACTCCCCATTGCTGACAGAAGGACAAATTCACATGATATGCAGAGCTTTTCAGTTTCCAGTAGTCTGTCATCTGCCTATGTTCCAGTCACATGTTCCCAAAAACACAATGAAGGCTCTTTCAGCTCAATGCCTTCGTATCTGACATTCTCTTCTCCTGAAAGGTCCTTATTCCACCTTCTCTTTCTGACATGCTTGTCACCATTCACTCTATGTGCCAGGTACTGTGCAAGGCACTGGGAATTCAAAGAAGAAAAGGACAGACAATCCCTGCCTTTAAGGAGCTTACAGTCTTGAGAAGTGTAGATGGCATTGTTGAATGGCAAACACAACACTAGTCTTAATACCTCTCCCCCCTCTCCCTTTCATCCTTATGAGTGGCTGAAAAAGCTGATTACTGCCAGGGATGGACAATAGCACACACATAGAAGTGTGCTGCCAGCTTCTGGGAAAGAGTTTGCTTTCCAGATAAAAAGGAAAAGACCCAGAGCCATCCCTTCCCCCAGCCTTGAGTGTGGGTGCACTTGAAGCTGGGACAGCCATCTTATAACCATGAGGGAAAGGACAAGAGAATCCTACAGACACGATCCTGACACTGATGACAGCTCAACAAGCACCAGTGGCTACTGACCTCCAGTCCCCTATATATTTGAGAATAAACCACCATTTGTCGAGCCACTTGTTTATCAGTTTTCTGTTACTTACAGCTGAAAGCATTCTCTTGAGGGGGAGGTGGGGAATATCCAGCAAGTCATCCTTTCACAGCAGCCGTGCTAAATGATGTCAGGAAGCAGAGCACACAGTGAGGGGCTACAACACAGCAAGTGGGGAATGAAAGAGTGGGGAGCAATCAGCAAGGCGTGGAGACAAGAAGGAAGCATCCATTCCAGGCAGAGGAAAGAACTTCTGCAAAAGTCCTCAGGGAGGAAGAGCACTTGTGGCAGAGGACAGAAAAGCCTGCGAGATGAATAGTGACAGAGGAAGCCAGAAGGAGAGGCAAGGCCTGTCCTGTTCCCCAAGGCAGGAGGAGCACTCTTCCCACTGTGCTGCCCCAGAGCTTCATTCCCAAACTCTACCCCTGTGCTTCCAACCTGTGCTAATTTACCTGCCTACCTCTCTCACCCCAGTTAGACTGGACTTTTCACAACCCCTTTAATCATCTTATGCCCCTTAGCACCTAGCAGAGGGACGTCGAAATACACATAATAAACATTTACTGAATGAAAACATTATCATGATAAAATACTTTAACTATTCAAAAATATCCTGGCTGGGTGCGGTGGCTCATGCCTGTAATCTCAGGACTTTTGGAGGCCGAGGCAGGTGGATTGCTTGAGCCCAGGAGTTCAAGACCAGCCTGTGCAACATAGTCAGACCCTGTCTCATTAAAAAAAAAAAAAAAAGCATCCTAAAAAGTCATAATCCAATATAAGCACTGACTTATGAATATTTTTGAAGCCCAGTTCTGCAACTGAGTTCCACCACCACCCAGGTATGCCACCTTCACGTGACCGAATGAGATGCTTGCTCTAGAACCTTATTGGAGTTAAAACAGGTGATCTCAGGCAGTATTGACTGATTTTTGAGGATTTTTTTTTTTTTAAAGCCCAGGGAGCTTGACTTTAGCAGCCCAGTCAAAAGTACCTGCCACAGACGAAGGGCCAACCAGGAGTGGTTTTATAGTAGTAAACCTATAACACATGGTTTTATAGTAGTAAGCCTATATACTATATAGAGAGAGTATATATACAACTATGTATATATAGAGAGTTACAACCTAACTCTGAAGAATATCAAACCAAATGTTTAGTTAGCTGACCCTTGCCCCAAAAAAGAGAAAGAGAAATACAAACTTGCATTATGCATCAAAATATTGTCCAAATTTGTTTTCAAACGGTAGGTTTATGGGTGATTTTATTTAATTTCCATTTCTTAATATTTTGTAATTGGCTTGATTCACTTAAATTACTTAAATCAATACAATTTTTTTACTTACAAAAGCACAGAAGAGAGCAAAACTTCCTCAGCCACGAGGCCTTAGTTTACTCAGTATGTTTTGAAAAACACTTGATAATTTTTATAATTAAAAGTGAATCCAAAGTTTAAATTTAAATTGCAGACAGCCTTTGACCCATATCCAGGAATCAACACTTCAAAAATATGGGGAATAGCACATATCTCATGTCAGTGGCATGGAGCGGGAGGGAAATAAGGCACAGTATTTTATTGGTTAGAATTGCTGGTGCATGGTGATAATCAAAAGCAGACCGTGCTGGGTGCAGTGGCTCATGCCTGTCATCCCAGTGCTTTGAGAGGTCAAGGCTGGAGGATTGCTTGAAACCAGAAGTTCGACAACAGGCTGGGCAACACAGTGAGACCCCGTCTCTACAAAAATAAAATAAGGGCAAAAAGAGGAAAAAAAATAAGAAAAGCAGGCCGGGCACGGTGGCTCATGCCTTTAATCCCAGCACTTTGGAAGGCTGAGGCAGGTGGATCACCCGAGGTCAGGAATTCGTGACCAGGCTGGCCAATGTGGTGAAACCTTGTCTCTACTAAAAATACAAAAAAAAAAAAAAAACAAAGTTAACTGGGCGTGGTGGTGGGTGCCTGTAATTCCAGCTACTTGGGAGGCTGAAGCAGGAGAATTGCTTGAACCTGGGAGGCAGAGGTTGCAGCGAACAGAGATCCTGTCATTGCACTCCAGCCTGGGCGCTGGAGTGAGCCTCCATCTCAAAAAAATAATAATAATAATAAAAGAAAGAAAGAAAAGCAGGCCAACTTTTAGTTGGTTTTCCTGTTGTTTTCAAATTCCCTATATACAATGTGCCCATAATGCCTGCACCAGGCAGATGATCCCACTACCTGCACTGGTGCATGGCTGTTTGCTGTTGCCTCTGCACAGAAAGCTCTTCCCAGACCCTCTGCACTGACAGCCTCCTCTTCACCATGCATCTCTTAGCTTAGAAGTCACCTCCATGGAAAGCCTTTCCCTGATTACCCCATCTAGAATTGGAAAACCACCACTCTCTTCTGCAAGACCTTATTTATTGCCTTCACGGCACTTACTACTATTTGAAAGTATCTTGTATCTTGTTTATTGTTTCTTTATTGTGGGTCTTCCCACACAAGAAATTAAACCTTATTTCTTGGTCACTGCTGAATTCTAGTACCTAAAACAGTGCCTGGCATATATAAAAGGTATCAAATATATAATTGTTTAATAAATGAAAAAGATACACATATTATGTATACAAGGATACTCACTGCAACGAGATTCATAATAGCAAAAAAACTGCAGAAAGCTGAATGCCCAGTAATAGATGAATGATTAAATAAATTATAATTTGTCTATAAATCTGAATATTCTGCAGTGATTTAAAAGAACACTCACTGCCATCAAAAGATATCCACAATATACAATACAGTGAAATTTTTTTAAGTTGCAGAATAATATGTGTGGCATGATCCCATCTTCACAAATGACAGAGATAAATGTAACTACATGGGAATGTATAGGTTTTTTTAAAATAATAAGGGATTATATTACATGTATTTTCAATATATATACATGTTACATGCATAGGAAAAAATGTATAGGACTATGGTATTAAGAGGACAGAAAGAACTTACATCTTTTACTCCACATAAATCCACATCATTTAAATTTTAGGACAACCATGTAAATCTTGTGTAAATTTTTTTTTTAAATCACATTTATTTTGTACTGGTAAACTAAAATAGATTTCAAGTTTTTGGAAAATTGAGATACCTTTTTAAAAAATATTTATTTAAAATATTTCATGCTCAGACCAGGCACAGTGGGTCATGCCTGTAAATCCCAGCACTTTGGGAGGCCGAGGCGGGTGGATCACCTGAGGTCAGGAGTTCAAGACCAGCCTAGCCAACATGGTGAAACCGCATTTCTACTAACACTACAAAAATTAGGTAGGCATGGGTGGCAGGTGCCTGTAATCCCAACTACTTGGGAGGCTGAGGCAGGAAGAATTGCTTGAACCCGGGAGGTGGAGGTTGCAGTGAGCCGAGATCATACCCCTGCACTACAGCCTGGATGACAGAGCAAGATTCCATCTCAAAAAATAAAAATGAATACATAAATAAGAAAATGAAAATATTTCATGCTCGTCTACACTATGGAATACTATGCAGCCATAAAAAGAAATGAACTCATGTCCTTTGCAGGGACGTGGATGGACCTGGAAGCCATTATCCTCAGCACACTAACACAGGAACAGAAAACCAAACACTGCATGTTCTCACTTGTAAGTGGGAGCTGAATAATAAGAACACATGAACACAGGGAGAGGAACAACACACACTGGGGCTTGTTGGGGAGCAGGGGAGGGAGAGCATCAGGATAAATAGCTAATGCATGCGGGGCTTAATACCTAGGTGATAGGTTGATAGGTACAGCAAACCACCATGGCACACGTTTACCTATGTAACAAACCTGCACATTCTGCACATGTATCCTGGAACTTAAATAAAATATATATATATTTCATGCTAAAGTTTTTATATTGTAGGTAAACTTTAAGATTACATAAAAAATAAACAAAATTAATAAGCAAATATTGAACTTGAGCTACACTTTAGACCAAATGGACCTAACAGACATATGTAGAATTTTCCATCCAACAGCAACAGAATACAGATTCTTCTCAAGAGCACATGGAACTTTCTCTAGGTCAGGTACCAAAAACAGTGCCTGGCATATATAAAAGGTATCAAATATATAATTGTTTAATAAATGAAAAATATATACCTTTATTATATATGTTAGGCCACAAAACTAGTCTGGACAAATTTAAGAGAAGTGAAATAATTTCAAGTATCTTCTCTGATAATAATGCTATGAAACTAGGACTCAGTAACAGGAGAAATCTTGGAAAATTCACAAATATGTGGAAATTAACATGTTACTAAACAACCAATGAGTCAAAGAAGAAATCAAAAGCGAAATTTAAAAATATCTTGAGACAAAAATGAAAACACAACACATACCAAAACTTATGGGATGCAGCAAAAGCAATTCTAAGAGGGAAATTTATAGCAATAAATGGCTCTATGCACCAGGGACCAGTTTGGTGGAAGACAGGAAGGAAGCAGGTAGGGTTTCAGGATGAAACTGTTCCACCTCAGATCATCAGGCATTAGTTAGATTCTCATGAAGAGTGAACAACCTGTATCCCTCGCATGCGCAGTTCACAATAGGGTTCGCTCTGCTATAAGACTCTAATGCTGCCACTGATCTGGCAGGAAGTGGAGCTCAGGTGGTACTGCCACTCACCTCCTGCTGTGTGGTCCAGTTCCTAACAGGTCACAAGGGTTGGGGACCCCTGCAGTCTATCAGAAAAGAATAAATATCACAAATAATATTATGTTATACCTCAAGGAAGCAGAAAAAGAAAAAGCCTAAATGTAGCAGAAGGAAAAAAATGACAAAGATCAGGGCAAAAATAAATAAAATAGAGACTAGAAAAACAATAGAAGAAAAATCAATGAAACCAGCAGTGGTTTCTTGAAAAGATAAACAAAATCGACAAACCTACAGTTAGGTTAACCTAGAAAAAAAAGTGAAAAGATTCAAATAAATAAAATGAGAAATAAAAGAGGAGACACTGTGATTTATACCACAGAATACAAAGAATCATAAAGATTAGTACGAACAAACAACCATATGCCAATAAATTGAATAATCTAGAAGAAATGGATATATTCCTAGAATTTATCCTACCACATATAACCTACCAATACTAAATCAAGAAGATATAGAAAATCTGAACAGACCAATAATAATTGAATTGGTAATTCAAAAAGACTAAATCAATAATACAAACTTTCCCATCAAAGAAAAGCCCAAGACTGGAAGTGTTACTGATGAATTCTGCCAAACATTTAAACTAATATCAATCCTTTTTGAACTCTTCCAAAAAATCGAAGAGGATGTAATACTTTTGAACTCTTTTTATGAGGTTAGCATTACCTTGATACCAAAGCCAGACAAGAACATTATGAGAAAAGAAAATTACAGGCCAATATCCCTGATGAACATAGATGCAAAAATCCTCAACAAAATACGAATAAGCCAAATTCAACAGCACATTAAAAGGATCATTCACCATGATCAAGTGGAATTTATCCCAGGGATACAAAGATGATTCAACACATGCAAATCTATAAATGGAGAACACCATATTAACAGAATGAAGGACAAATACTATATGATCACCACATTAGATGCAGAAAAGGCATCTGATAAAATTCAACATCCTTTCACTAATAAATTAGTATAGAAGAAATGTATATCAACATAATAAAGGCCATATATGAAAAGCCCACAGCAAACATTACACACAATGGTGAAAAATGGAAAACTTTTTCTCTAAGATCAGGAACAAGACCAGGATGCCCACTCTCATCATTTCTATTTAATGTAGTACTGGATGTCCTTGTGGAGCAATTATGTAAGAGAAAGAAGTAAAAGGCATTCAAATAGGAAAGGAAAAACTTAAAATTGTCACTGTTTGCTGATGACAAAAACCATAAAGACTCTACCAAAAAACTGTTAGAAGTGATAAATAGTAAAGTTGAAGAATACAAAGTCAACACGCAAAAATCAGTAGCATTCCTATACACTAGCAACAGACTATCTAAAGAAATATAGAAAACAGTCTCATTTACAACAGCCATCAAAAAAAAAAACCTTAGGAGAATAAGTTTAACCAATGAGATGAAAGCTCTGTACACTGAAAAATATAACATTGATTAAAGAAATTGAAGAAGACATAAATAAATATAAGGATATTCCACGTTCATGGATTGGAAGAATTAATATTGTTAAAAAGTCCAACTACGGGCCAGGTGCGGTGGCTCATGCCTATAATCCCAGCACTTTGGGAGGCCGAGGCAGGCAGATCACGAGGTCAGGAGATTGAGACCATTCTGGCTAACTCAGTGAAACCTCATCTCTACTAAAAAATGCAAAAAATTAGCCGGGTGTGGTGGCAGGCACCTGTAGTCCCAGGCACTCGAGAGGCTGAGGCAGGAGAATGGTGTGAACCCAGGAGGCAGAGCTTGCAGTGAGCCGAGATCACGCCACTGCACTCCAGCCTGGGTGACAGAGCGAGACTCTGTCTCAAAAAAAAAAAGAAAAAAAAAAAAGTCCACACTACCCAAAATGACCTTCAGCTTCAATGCAATCCCTATTAACATTTCAATGACATTTTTCACAGAAATAGAAAAAGTTATTTTGAAATTTATATAGAACCACACACACATGAAAAAAAAAAAAAAACCCTAAGTAGCCCAGGCAATTTGAGCAAAAAGAACAAAGCTGGAGGCAACATTCTACCTGACTTCAAACTATATTACAAAGCTGTAGTAATTAAAACAGCATGGTACTGACATAAAAATAGAAACATCATCCAATGGAACAGGATAGAGAGCCCAGAAATAAACCCACATATTTACAGTCAACTGATTTTTTTTTTTCCAAAGGTTCCAAGAACACACGATGGGGCAAAGACAGTCTCTTCAATAAAGAATAATGGGAAAACTGGACATCCACATGCAGAAGAGTGAGATTTGACCCTTATGTCACACCATATACAAAACACAACTCGAAATGGATTAAAGACTTAAACACAAGACCTGAAACTGATTTTAAAAACATACTATAAGAAAACATAGGGGGAAAACTGTGTACCCTATAATTATATATGATTATAATTTTGAAAAAATACATTTTTAAAAAAGTAATCAGTCTCATAATTGACAAAACTTGGAAGAAACCAGCTGAGCATGGTGGCTTGAGCCTGTAATACCAGCTACTTGAAAGGCTGAGGTGGGAGGCTCACTTAAGGCCAGGTTTTGAGACCAGCCTGGGCAACACAGAAAGACCCTATCTCTAAAAAAATTAATAAAATAACAAATTTGGAAGCAACCAAGGTGTCTCTCAATAAGTGAATATATAAACAACTTGTGGCACACCCAAACAATAAAATAGTATTCAGCAATAAGAAGAAATGAAATGTCAAGCCATAAAAATACATGAAGGAACCTTAAAGACATGTATCTAAGTGAATGAAGCCAATGTGAAAATATATACTATATTATTCCATCTATATAACATTCTGGGCAAAGCAAAACTAGGGAGACAGTAAAGACATCAGTGGTTGTCAGGGGCTAGAGGGAGAGAAGGAGGGATGAATAAGCAGAGCACATGGGATTTTTAGTGTAGTGGAACAATTCTCTGTGATACTATAATGGTAGACACATGCCATCATACATTTATCAAAACCAGTAGAATGTACAACATCACAAGTGAACTCTGGACAGGCACAGTGGCTCATGCCAGTAATCCCAGCACTTTGGGAAGCTGAGGTGAGAAGACTGCTTGAGCCCAGGACTTTGAGACCAGCCCGGGAAACATAGCGAGATCCCATCTCTACAAAAAATAAAGAATAAAAAAATTAGCTGAGCATCATGTACGTGTTTTTAGTCCCAGCTACTCAGGAGGCTGAGGCAGGAGTATCACTTGAGCCCAGGAGTCCAAGGTTATAGTGAGCTATGACCATGCCATTACACAGCAGCCTGGGAACAGAGCAAAACTCTGCCTCAAAAAAAAAAAAAAAAAAAAAGAGTCAACCCTAATGTAACCTATCAGCTTAGTTATTAATAATATATCAATATTGGCTCATCAATTGTAACAAATATACTACATAATGCAAGATGTTAATAATGGGGGAAACTGAGGGACCTAGGGAATTGGGTGTGAGGAAATATATGGAAACTCTCTGTAGTTTCCACTCAATTTTTCTGCAAACCTAAAGCTGCTCTAAAAAAGAAAGTCTATTAATTTTTTTAAGTAATTAGTTGCTACCTGAGAAAGCTGATTAAAGAAAAAAAGATAAAAAGTAATTAGTACTGCATTATGCATTTCTTTTATTAAATATGATTACCTTACTAAATGCACATATATAAAATATGAACTTTAAAGTAAAAACTATACCCTTAAGTCATTTTAATATAGATCGGTTATGTTCTAAAGGAAAATAAATGATTTAGTATTTGAGGTCTAAAGCCTGGTGTTAGAATTCCAACTCTACTGTAGATATTTTTCATGTTCCTAGTTTTCCATTAGAGTAATTTATATCAATTAGACTAAACTATTCTTTTTCCAAAATTACAGCTCCTCAGTGAATTTTGTTCCCCTAAAAAAATACCTTCTATGTTTCAATAGAACATCCAATGGAACCTTTCTTAATAACCCTGTCTATTTGTGTAAAAAGGAACTTGATGAATAAAGTATAAAAATATTAGCAAAGTACCTTGAAATACTCAGATGAAAAAGCAAGGAAAAGCTAGCCACTCTGGTTGCACAGACATTCATGCCACTAATGGTCTGCTGGAGAAAAGTTATTTTTGAAAATATTAAATAACTTTGAATCTGACACCACCTAATTGTTCACAAAATCCATTGTTGCATTTCAATTTACCATTGTCACAACTGGAAACTCAAAAAAATGTCAATTCATAGTTAAGGCAGAAAGGTGTTCAAATTTCATATTTCACACAAATGTCAAGTATTAATATCTATGGAAGAGGTAAACACAACTCTATTAGTGAGTATCTCTATTCTAATTCTAACTCTTGAACTATGAACACATTTTAAGTACATGCGCAATCATCAGCTCTGTATAGAAACACAGAATCTGCCGGGCGCGGTGGCTCACCCCTGTAATCCCAGCACTTTGGGAGGCCGAGGTGGGCGGATCACGAGGTCAGGAGATCGAGACCATCCTGGCTAAAACAGTGAAACCCCGTCTCTACTAAAAATACAAAAAATTAGCCGGGCGTGGTAGTGGGCGCCTGTAGTCCCAGCTACTCGGGAGGCTGAGGCAGGAGAATGGTATGAACCCGGGAGGCGGAGCTTGCAGTCAGCCAAGATTGCACCACTGCCCTCTAGCCTGGGCGACAGAGCAAGACTCCGTCTCACAAAAAAAAAAAAAAAAAAGAAAGAAACGCAGAATCTAGCCAAGCGCCGTGGCTCACACCCGCAATCCCAGCACTTTGGGAGGCCGAGATGGGCCGATCACCCCAGGTCAGGAATTGGAGACCAGCGTGGACAACATGGTGAAACCCCATCTCTACTAAAAATACAAAAATTAGCTGCGTATGGTGGCCCACGCCTGTAATCTCAGCTACTCAGGAGGCTGAGGCAGGAGAACTGCTTGAACCCAGGAGGCAGAGACTACAATGAGCCGAGTATCAGGGCACTGCACTCCAGCCTGGGCCACAAGGCGAAACTCTGTCTTAAAAAACAAACAAACAAACAAAAAAGAAACACAGAATCTTAGCTGGACAGGACCTCAGAGGACATCTAGTCTAACATACCATTTGATGAGTTAGACCTACAACACCCTCGGCTTGTCTGACAGCTGTTATACAGTGAGCAGCAAACCCTTTTCTGTAGAAGGCCAGATGGTAAATAGTTCAGGCTTTGAGGCCATCCAGTCTTTGTTGTAACAACTCCACTCTGCCCATGTACCACAAAAGCAGTCATAGCCAAAACATAAATAAATGGGTGTGGCTGTGCTCCAATAAAACTTCATTTACTAAACTTGCAAAACAGGCCGTGGGTTGCCAATCCCTGATCTAGACTACTCCTAGGTATTGATAAAATTCCACCATTATATACATTTAATGACTTTACAGGAAAACTTGTTGTCAGGGTCAGCTGAAATAAGCAAATTCAGCAAATTCACCCATGGCTCCAATCAAGATTATTGCCTTCTGGAAAAAGAGAGAACATTTACCCTTTCCTATGTATCAGCCCTTCAAATACTTGAAGGAAGCTATCATGATTTCAAGTATTTTTTCTCCAGCTAAATTCCCCAATGCCTTCAAGCATTCCTTGTATTATGACATAGTTTTCCAGGCCATGTAACCATTTCATCATCCTCTTATATACATATACCAGTCCTTTAATAATCCTTTGAAGTGCAGAGGACTGATACATAACATACGGTTTAAAAAATATGTAGCAATCAAGATGTAATTTTAATTTTAGAATTTGGCTATCTCCAAATACAAGTGTTTTATTTTACAAAACTACCATTGAGTCTTTATGGAAAATATATTTTCTGAGGACTTATTCAAAGGCTTATGCTCAGTGTCATAACACTGTACATTAATTTAACATGATTACTAAGAAACAGAAAATATTCTTAATTTTGCAAAAAAAAAGACATAATAAAACAATAGATTCAAAACAGTCCTTATGCATCAAAAAATGTTGGCAGAACTTACCACTGCAATTGGAATAATATAGTACAATTTGCAAAAGAAAGTCATCAGTCATTCTTTTTGAGAAAATAAAACACAGAAGAAGAAAACACACACATCCACAGTGTGTTCTTACATGCTGCTGGCTTGTTAGTAAAGACAGAGCAGGGCTGCTATAATCACAGCCAGGCCATCTCTAAATGATGGTCCCTGTTGTATTCCACATTTTCATGGCCTGGGAAGAAACAAATGTGGTTTTTTTAAAGGCAATTTAATTCAGATTTCTGCAACTTACTGTCATTGCATTTTAAAAAATTTTTCTCTTTTTAAAAATAGCTATAAGAAAGTAAGGCCCATGCCCAGCTAATTTTTGTGTTTTTTGTACTGATGGGGTTTCATCATGTTGCCCAGGCTGGTCACGAATTCTTGAGCTCAAGCAATCCACCCACCTCACCCCTCAAAGTGTTGGGATTACAGGTGTGAGCCACCGTTCCTGGACTGGCACTATTAGGTTGGTGCAAAAGTAATTGCGGTTTTTGCCATTACTCTTGCACCAACCTAATATATAGCTACAAATGTGCCACACTGAGTCTGACTTTGCAACTATTTTTGCAACATCTCTTATTGTGATTCAATTTCTTGATAATTCAGTACCTTAATATATTGCACTAGAGGAATAAATTCATTTTTTAAAACCTAAACATGTAACATCACAACTTATAATGTTGGTTAAGCTTAATTTACATTCTCCAGTGTCTTCTTCCTGCTTGCTTGTCATTACACAACTTCTCCCTGGATAATCCCATCCATGTATGTGGCTTCAAACACTATCCACATACTGATGACAACCAAATTAATTTCTCTAGCCCAATTTCTCTGCAGGGATGACCCATTTATCTAGGAGCCTAGTGGCATCTCCACCTGATCATTCCAACTGCCACGAGACAACATGTACAAAGTGGAGCATATGGGTCATAACATAGTAGCAAATATTTATTGATTATTACTACATGCCAGGCACTGCACTAAGTGCTTCATATGGATTTTCTCGCTTAATTTTCACCATGCAATTACACATGGCATGTCTATCTTCTTTCACCTGAAGCCCCATTAAAATGATAGCATCAAAATATGAAAGATGTAACAGATTGTTCATTGACTACCTAGTATACACCCATCCCCATCCCCTTCTTCCTGGCCAAGAGAATTTTTTTTTCAGGGCATCAAAAAACCAAGCCAATTTCTCAGTCTCCCTTGTAGCAAGGAGTAACCATATGACCCTATTTGAGCCAATGGAACACAAGTAGATATCTGTTTGGGGTGGGTCAGGAAAAGCAACACAATCCTTTACTCGTTCCTGCCTTAACTGTGGATATCATGTGCAGCTGCACTTTTCCTTTTTTGACCATGAGGAAAAGGCCAAGACAACCACAGAGACATTGGTCCAGACATTATTGAGCTACTGAACTAAGGCCAGTAACCATCTGCCTCCAAACTTCTTATTACTGAGAAAAATGAACCCTTTTTTTATATCCATTTTTAAGTCCAGTTTTCTGTTAACTTATAGCTGAAAATATTCCTAGCTGGTACAAAACTATAACCTAAACAAGAGGTTTCAACAAATAATTAGTAGGAAAACAGAGGGGCCAGGTGTGGTAACTCACGCCTGTAATCCCAACACTTTGGGAAGCCGAGGCAGAAGGATCACTTGAGGCCAGGAGTTGAAGACCAGCATAGACAACATAGTAGGACCCTGTCTCTACAAAAAATTAAAAAATTAGCTAGGTATGGTGGTGCACACCTGCAGTCCTAGCTACTCGGGAGGCTGAGGTAAGAGGATCACTTGAGCCCAGGAGATCAAGGCTGCAGTGAGCTATGACTGAGCCACCGCACTCCAGCCTGGGCAACAGAGCAAGATCCTGCCTAAAAACAAAAAGAAAGAAGGAAAGCAAGTGGAGAAGGAGTAACTATACAGTAAACCAAAGGATGTTACAGACTAAGTGCCTACAGAAATAATGAGAAGCAAGTCAGCTTACCCCCATGGACCTCACAGAAGACTCAGGATTTGGAGACACCACTGCAGAAGACAGAACGCATAGATCTGACATTTGGAGATTCACTAACAAAAATGCCAGTTCCCCACCCAGTCACCACCATTCCTCAAGCCCATAAGTCTACATATTGGAAAATTTCCTTAAGTCCTGCTTATTGTTGGCTGTTTTGATTTATGTATGACTAAGTTACTGAAAATATGATTGTAAGGAAAGCCGGCAATATAAAAGATAAGCAAAACAAGCAAACAGGAGAAAAATGGAAAGAAGAAGAGAAAGAAAAGAAAAGTAACTTAGAAGAAATAGAAACAATGCAAAAAGCAGCCAGGCACGGTGGCTCACACCTATAATCCCAGCACTTTGGGAGGCTGAGGCTGGCAGATCACCTGAGGTCAGGAGTTTGAGACCAGCCTGGCCAACATGGTGAAACCTCCATCTCTACTAAAAATACAAAAATTAGCTGGGTGTGGTGGTGGATGCCTGTAATCCCTGCTACTCAGGAGGCTGAGGCAGGAGAACTGCTTGAACCTGGGAGGTGGAGGTTGCAGTGAGGCGAGATCATGCCACTGCACTCTAGCCTGGGCAACAGAGCAAGACTCTGTCTCAAAAAAAAAAAAAGAGACAATGCAAAAATCAGAAGAATACTTTGAAAAGAAAGATACACATAATATCCTCAGAGAGATTTGGGGAAAACAACAACAAGAATGAGATGCTATGAAAGAGAAACAATTAAGATAGAGCAGCAGAAACAAACAAAAATAATAGAAAGGTTGGAAGACAAAGTTGAGCTAATTTCCCACATAATAACAAATGGAAACTAGGTGAGAAAAGTTTAAAATCAGGGGCCGGGCATGGTGGCTCACACCTGTAATCCCAGCACTTTGGGAGGCCATGGCAGGCGGATCACTTGAGGCCAGGGGTTCAAGACCAGACTGGCCAACAGGGTAAAATCCAGTCTGTAATAAAAAAAAAAAAAAATAGAGGATCAGGTCCATACAGAAGTTCTAAAAGAAGAGGGTCCAAAAGAGATAGGGAAGGAAATTGTCAAAGAAAAAACATTCTCCTCCAAGTGCATTTACAGCAAAATTAAAACATGCACAAAGGCAGATGGTTGTGAAAATGGAGAAGAGAGATAAGTGGAATATCTGACAAACTTTCTGAGGGAATAAACAGGTATAACTCCCAATCCTTTGTATTCGAATGACATCAAACCTCTCAACAGCAACACTGTAAGTTATGGAACTATGCCTTCAAAATTCTTAGTGTGAGATTATTTTTGGCATAGAATTTTGTAAGTCAATCAGTCAAGCACAAGGGTAAATGAAGGCATGCAGAGATGCAAACTTTTTGCCTCTCATGCACCTTTCCTTCGGAAGCTTATAGAGAATTATGTTTCTGCAAAATAAGAGAATAAATCAAGAATGATTAAAACATATGATTAAGGACACAGGAGCCTGCTCTACAGGAAAGCAGCGAAGAGCAACACCAGAGTGACAGTTGTGTAGCAAACCCAGACCCAGACTGGAAGACAGGCCTCCAGGAAAAAGCATGACAGACAGGTTGTGTGATGCACTTTGACATTTGCACATAGATCTGTGTGGGATTTGGAATACATATTGATGGATATATAGAGTTTCTGTTTTCTGTATATAGTCAAACATTAGATTGAACAACATGAAATTGTTGTTTTATAGATTAAAATATTGTCAAGTATTGATAGTTTAATATCATTTGACCAAATTTACAGGTGAATAATATAATGCCGGAAATTTGCTTTAAATACTCTAACAATGACAAAAAAAAAGTTGGAGGAATATATGAAACAAGAATGTCTGAAAGCATACTGTTATTGAAAGTGGGTAATGGGCACATGAGCTTCACTGTCCTTTTTTCTCTATTCATGTATGTGTTTGAAAATCCCATCATAAAAAAATATAAAAAGAGAAAAGTATAGCAACACCAAAATGTACATTTTAATAATCTTTCGCACACTGAACTAATCCTAGGACTGCTTGCCCCAGCCTGTTTGGAAAGTGGGAAAAATCAGTTCCTTCATTCAAGCACTTTAATCAGGTATCCTGTTACTTGCAGCCTAAAGCATCCTAATTTAATCATAGATCCTAGCTGATCAATCCAAAATATATCATGTCATTTATCACAAGGATTTAACAAAATTTTTTAAGTAGAAATCTTCTAGGCCTCGTTCTCAGATTATAATCAAATAAAAATAGAAATAAATAATAAACAATTACTTTAAAAGTTTTAACTGGGAATTTTACAAACACAAACTCAGAATCCCATTAGTTACAGTATTAGTTCAAAGAAGAAATAAAAAATGAAATTACAAACTATCCAGAAAGCAAGGAAGGAACAATTACTACCAAAACCAATGGAAAAGAAAAAAACTGTATTCAGGAGAAAATGCCTAATCACCTTCATTATTAACTTTAAAAAACTAAAAACAACGGCAACTAGGACTCATGTTGAAGACTTAGAGGAGCAACAAACAAAGAAAGAAGAGGAAATTAATAAAGATGGAAGTTGAAATTAATGAAATGTAACCCTCCCAAAAATTATAATCAATAAATCTAAAAGCTGTTTTTTAAAAATATACCAATTAAGTAGATAAATTCTGTCAGAGCTTGATTAAGGAAAAAGGAGGAGAAAATGAAGTTCTACAAGATTAGGAATTTTCAAAGGGCATATAAGCACAGATGCAAAAGAGATTTTTTTTTTTTTTTTTTGAGACAGAGTCTTGCTCTGGAGCCCAGGCTAGAGTGCAGTGGCATGATCTTGGCTCACTGCAACCTCTGGCTCCTGGGTTCAAGCGATTCTCCTGCTTCAGCCTCCCAAGTAGCTGGGATTACAGGTGTGTACCACCACGCCTGGCTAATTTTTGTATTTTTAGTAGAGACGGGGTTTCACCATGTTGGCCAGGCTGGTCTCAAACTCCTGACCTCATAATCTGCCCACCTCAGCCTCCCAGAGTGCTGGGGTTACAGGCGTGAGCCACCGCACCGGCCGAGATTTTTTAAATTATAAAATTTATCGCAACAAATTTGAAAACCTAGAAAAATTGGATAATTTCCTAGCAAAATAAAAAGGAATCCAAGAACATCTGGAAAACTCAACTATATCAGTTACTTGCTGGGTGCAGTGGCTCACACCTGTAATCCTAGCACTTTGGGAGGCCGAGGCAGGAGGATCGTTTGAGCTCAGAAGTTCAACACCAGCCTGGGCAACGTAATGAGACCTCACCTCCACAAAAAAATTTTTAAAAATTAGTTGGACATGGTGGTGCATACCTGTATTCCTAGCTACTTGGGTGGCTGAGATGGAAGCATCACTTAAACCCAGCAGGTCAAGGCTGCAGTGAGCTGTGATTGTGCCATTGCACTCCAGCTTGGGTGACAGAGCAAAACGTTTTCTCAAAAAACAAACATACCAGTTACCACAGGGTAGATTGAAAAGGTGGTTAAAGGTCAACATTGAGAAGGCAGCAGGACCAGGTGATTTCCTAATTTGTTTCCACTAACCTAAGAACAGTAATTCTGATATTTTAGTTATTCCAGAATGAAGAGAAGGATGGAAAACTTCCTAATATGTTTTGTGAAGCCAATAAAACTTTAAAATCAAAACATGATAGAATACCCCCCCCCCAAAAAAAAAAAAAAAAAAAAAAAACCGGCTGGGTATGGTGGCTCATGCCTGTAATCCCAGCATTTTGGGAGGCCGAGACAGGCAGATCATGAGGTCAGGAGTTCGAGGCCAGCCTGGCGAATATGGTGAAACCCTGTCTCTACTAAAAATACAAAAATTAGCTGGGAGTGGTGGCATATGCCTGTAATCCCAGCTACTCGGGAGGCTGAGGCAGAAGAATTGCTTGAACCCAGGAGGCAGAGGTTGAAGTAAGCCAAGATCGTACCATTGCACTCCAGCGTGGGCAACAAAGCGAGACTCCACCAAAACAAAACAAAACAAAACAAAAACCTTACGTGACTTATATATATACAAAAGTTCTAAATAAAATATTGGCAAGCAATACTTGGCAATTCAGCAATAATTTAAAAGAATAACACACTGTAACCAATCAAAGGCTAATTCAAGGAATGCAAAAGTAAAATTTATTGTGATAAAGTATATTTACCTAAAACCAACAGCAAACATCTTTTTACTAGGTGAAACAATAAAACTATTTTAAATAAAGTCAGAAACCAAACAGGCATGCCTGCTATGGCTATTATTATTCAACATTGTCATGGCAGGTCTGACAAATGAAGTCACTGAAACAAAGATACACCATTTTTACTAATTGCATAACTGTATTTTTTAAAAACCCAATAGACTATAGTTTTTTAAAAAACTGATAGAATTAATAAGAATATCTGATAAGGTAATACTATGATATCTAATTAATACACAAAAGTCATTAGATATTCCATATTTAAGCATGAACAACTAGAAGCATAAATGGGAAAGAAATCCATATGCAATAGTGAAAAAGTCATTAAGATACTTAGAAATAACTTAGCAAGAAAAGTACAAAAACCTATATAAAGAAAACCATAAAATCATACTGAAGGATAAATTTTAAAATCTAAGCAAATGGAACAACATCTGTGTGTTCTTAAATGGGAAGATTTAATATCATAAAAATGTCACTTCTGTCTTTATTTTTATTTTATTTTATTTTTTTTGGGACAGGCTACTCCCATTGCCCAGACTGGAGTGCGGTGGTGCAATCTCATCTCATTGCAACCTCTGCCTCCCAGACTCAAGCGATTCTCTTGCCTCAGCCTCCCAAGTAGCTGGGACAACAGGCGTGTGCCACCAACCCCAGCTAGTTTTTGTATTTTTTGTAGAGACACGATCTCGCTGTGTTGGACAGGCTGGTCTTGAACTCCTGACCTCAAGTGATCCGCCCGCCTCAGCCTCCCGAAGTGCTGGGATTACAGGCATGAGCCACTGCACCCAGCCAAAATGTCACTTCTCTTAATTTCAAGAGAATGCCCAATTAAAAAGCAAATACAATAATGGGATCCTAAGACATAAAATGGACATTAGGTAAAAATTGAAATCTAAATAAATAGGGATTTTAGTTAATACTAATGTATCCATATTGGTCCATTAATTGTTAACATACGTATCATATTAATGTAAAATGTTAATAGGAGGAAAACTGTGTGGGGAGTATATGGAAAGTCTCTGTACTATCTTCACAATTTTTCTGTAAATATAAAACTGTTCTCAAAAATAAAGTTTATTTTTGTAATCCCAGCACTTTGGGAGGCTGAGGCAGGAAAGTCATTTGAAGCCAAGAGTCCTATACCAGCCTGAGCAACATAGTGAGACACTATCTCTACAAAGCAACAACAACAACAACAACAACAACAACAACAAAATATACACACACACACACACACACACACACACAAATTAGCCAGCATGTGCACTCAGGAGGTTGACGTGGGAAGATCACTTGAGCCCAGAAGGTCAAGGCTGCAGTGAGTCTAGATCAGACCACTGCACTCCAGCCTAGGAGAGAGAGCAAGACCCTTGTCTCAAAAAATAAATAAATACATAAAGTTTATCTTAAAAGCATATGTGTGACACAATCATGTAAGTTTTCTTTTTAATAAACAGAATAGAATTCCAGTTAAATAGGTAAAAGTATCTTAAAGTTAAGAGAGGAAACAAATGCCCAAGAAAGCAAATAAAAGAATCAAAAAGAACAGTGAGAGGAAATATACTGTGGAGATAGTATAATTAAATCAATATGGTATACTGATGTAGGAACAGAGAAATAGATCAGTGGAACAGAATAGAGAATTCAGAAATAAAATCCAGTCTATATGAGATTTTAACGTATGACAAAAATGTATTTCAATGCAATGGGGGAAAGAGTGATTATTTAGTAAGTGGCGCCAGGACAACTGGCTATTCATCTGGTAGAAAATAGTTGGTCCAATATCTCATCTTTTAAATAAAAAACAAATTCCAGATGGAGTAAATGCTTAAATGTAATAAATAGAGCATCAAGTTAGAAGAAAACCTGGGCGACAACACTTACAATCTGTTTCTTAACCAGAGAGAAAAAAATAGCCATATTTGAGTTAATAAAAATGAAAAACAATTTATGTTGCAAAGCTATCATAGACGAAACCAATAGGCAAATTATAGATTTGGGAAAATACCTGCAAAAGCAATAACAGATAATGGGTTAGTAACCATAACCAATATACAAAGAGCTTTTAAAAATTGGCAAGAGACAAGCAACTCGATAGAAAAATGGGTAAAGGATGTGAAAAGGGAGTTCATGAGAACAAATTCACAGACATAAGCATAAAGATGCTCCAACTTACTAGTCATTAGAGAAATGCAAATTACAGCAAAAAATAATAATCACTCACAACCAATCAGGTAAAAGAAAAATTAGAGAGTACAATACCAATTGCTGACAGGATGAGGAGGAAAACAATGTAAATTGTTTACAGCTGTTTTGTAAAGCAGTCTGACAAATATTTTTACATTAAAAATACATAGCCACTTCAACCAACAAATCACACTCCTGGGAACCTATGCAATCAAAATAAAATCACCAATAAAATTTTATTGCAGCATTGCTCTTATTGCAAAAAACAAGACAGAAAAAAATGCATTTCCAGCAATAAGGTAATAATAAATCTATATATTGTGGAATATTAAGTAGCCAATAAAAAGAATGAATTAGAGATTACCATTCGACTTGAAAGGATTTTCCTGGATGTATCTTTGAGTGATAAAGTAAGATGCAGAGAAGGGAATACACCGTGATCCCATTTTTAAAAAGCAAATATTGAACAAAATCCATAAAAGTGTGTGTGTGCAAGTGTGTGTGTGTGTGTGTGTGAGAGAGAGAATGTGAACATGGAGACAAGCAGAAGAATACACACTAGCTTGCTAACACAGGTTACTTAAGAAGGGTGGAGAATGCAGGGGTTGAAAAGAAAACATGAGCACAGTGTATGATACGATTTCATTTATGTTAAGCAAATTAATCAATGACCCTCTATAATGTGGATTAGGAATATGACATGATTGGTATGAGCTTCTATCTTCCACATACTCCCCGTTTTTAAAAACTATATTATTATTTTTTTCTAGGCTCCCTCGAATCATGGGACATAATCTCTACTTTAAAACTTCCACACAATCATTTGGCATTTTCTCTTCCATTGAACTATCAGTTCTGTACAACGAAAGTCCCAAAATTTCTTGTACATTTTGTGACAATTCTACTTAAAAATATTGTTTTTCATTAACTGTCACCCCACAGTTTGTGAAACTGAACTTTTGGACCCCACTTTTCAATTTGAGGTGTAGTTTTACACACAAACACAAGTATGCACGTAAACATTTAAAATTAGAAAAATAAGGAGTTGATAATTATATATTTACTGTTTACTGAAATGTCCAGAAAATAAAAATACAAATTATGGAAAAATATGCACAAGGTATTCTATTTCGGTAAAAATCAGCAAAACCTTAATTACAAATGCATACTTAACTATTTTTAAGTGAAAGAGAAAGCTGTAGAAAGTATTCCTTGTCAGAGGTTAATAAAGGGGAGGGAAATAGACAGAAAAGTACACATTACAAGTTTTACCTTTATACTTCTCAGTGTTACGTTACTTCACTTATTACAATAAGCAAAACCTATTGCTTTGGAAATCTAAAAATATTAAGTAATGAAAACAAAGATAAATTGCAAACAATAAAATAAATTGAGTGTTACTTAGTACCTACCTCATAAGATCTGTTGTGAAGATTGAGATAATTCATACAAGGTACTTAGCATATTGCCCAACATGTAAATGCTCAATAAATGTTAGCTATTTTTTAATTTAAAAGAAAAAAGACTACAAAGAGCAGTGGAAATTATGAAGCTGAAAACACAAGGCTTTTGAAAACGTCATTGTGTACACAGGACATTTTTCCCCATATTACTGAATCTGGCCTCTCTTGGACTTCAAGGATTCATAGTTTGGTAACCCTCCAGCTCATTAAACACACTCTCATTGGCAGGAAAAATAAAATTACAATTAGATAAATAAAGCACTTAACTGTAAAAAGGAGATGGCAATCTTTTTGCCTGGAACGCTACCCTAAGAACTTCACGAACCATCCTAAGGCACTACGCATCTGTCACAACACTTCAAATGAGAATTACTTGGGCCCTGGACATCTCCCTAACGCTGGAGGAGATGCCACAGGACATACAAATTGGAGAGGGAAGCCACAATTCTTCTCGAGGCCAGCCCAAGTGGGAAGTCCATTCCTAAACATAGAAATGCTACTCCCAACTCTGAGAATTTCTTCACAGGCCTGCCTACAAACATATTAGTTTGATTGTAATCTACAAACAAAATCTGGTCCATCAATACTATTCTTACTGTCCAATGAAACATTAAAGTAGCCTTATAAGGCCAGGCACGGTGGCTCACACCTGTAGTCCCAGCTACTTGGGAGGCTGAGTCGGGGAGATCTGAGCCTGGAAGGCAGAGGTTGTAGTGAGCCGAGATTGTGCCACTGCACTCCAACCTGGGCAACAGAGCAAGACCATGTCTTAAAAAACTAAAAAACAGCAGCCTCATAAATTTCATGTACATGTTATTAATTTTACTACTCACATGGAATTGACTTTGTCTTCTGGCCCCTGCACTTGGCCTGTCACGGTGCCTTTGCTGGTATTCTTCACCCAGCCAACCACTCCTATTTTCCTAGCTTCATCTTCTGTATACTGTTTCAGGAAAAAACAAGAAGAATAAAGTGCAGCATCAAAAGTCTGAGTTCATAACATACTTGATTCTAATATCCAAAAAATGCTAACCTAATAATCATTTTTTGTAGTCAATGCCAACAATTGTATAGATGACCTACAGTAACCTCTACTTATAAGAACCTTCACATAAATGGTATCTTTTGTTAAATTTCACTTTCAGTAAAAACAATTCCACTATCATAAAAACATTATGAAAAACTACGCTGAGAGTGAGAATTATTTCAGAAACAGTTCCTATGATGTGTTTTTGGATACATAAAATTTAGCTGCATTGCCCTTAAGACTGCTAACACTAAATTACATTGTTAACCTGGGTTCCAAATCATAATCAATCCAAGATTCTCAATCACTGAGAAAAAACATATACAATTATGATCAACATAGAGTATTGATAAGCAGAAATAGAGACTACAACACTTCGAAATTTCCAGCAAAAATGAGGGAAAATCATTTTAATAAGAAAATTATAAACAACCCCATTAAAAAGTAGGCAAGGACATGGACACTTCTCAAAAGTAGACATATGTGTGGCCAAGAAGCATATGAAAAAATGCTCAATATCACCAATCATTAGAGAAATGCAAATGAAAACCACAATGAGATACCTTCTCACACCAGTCAGAATGGCGATTATTAAAAAGCCAAAAAATAACAGATGCTGGCCAGGTTGCAGAGAAAAGGGAATGCTTACAAACTGTTGGTGGGAGTGCAAACTGGTCCAGCCACTGTGGAAAGCACTGTGGCAATTCCTCAAAGAGCTAAAAACAGAACTACAATGTGACCCGGCAATTCCATTATTGGGTATATACCCAAAAGAATATAAATTGTTTCATCATAAACACACATACACACATATGTTCACTACAGCAGTATTCACAATAGCCAAGACATGGAATCAACCTAAATGCCCATCAATGGTAGACTGGATAAAGAAAATGTGGTACATATACACCATGGAATACCATGCAGCCATAAAAAAGAATGAGATCATGTCCTTTGAAGGAACATGAATGGAGCTGGAGGCCATTATCCTTAGCAAACTAACACAGGAATAGAAACCAAATATTGCATGTTCTCACGTAGAAGTGGGAGCTAAATTATGAGAATACATGGACACAGAGAGGGGAACAACAGACACTGGGGCCTACCTGAGGGTGGAGAGTGGGAGGAGGGAGAGGAGTAGAAAAAAATAACTTTTGGGTACTAGGCTTTGTACCTGGGTCATGAAATACTCTGTATAATAAACCCCCATGACACGAGTTTACCTATATAACAAACCTATATGAGTACCGCTGAACCTAAAATAATTTTTTTTTAAAAAAGAAAGAAAATTAAACTAGCAAGAACACTAACATAAACATGCTGGTTTGCAGAGTTTTTATAAGACTAAAAGATTCTGATGTTTTCTGTTGGCTCTGGACTTGGCACAGAAATGTTATAATTGTCTATGGGTAGATTTATCTCTCCTATTATTATTAATAGTCTTTTAAAATTGCCTTTTTCTAGCTCCAAATTCAGTTATGCTATGTAAGTAGCAACATTTTGATTTTGAATTATTTTAACTACATCATACTAAAATTTCTATTGATCCAGTCTACTAGAACTCTTTTTTTTTCTTCTGAGATGGAATTTCACTCTTGTCGTCCAGGCTGGAGTGCAGTGGCGCCATCTCGGCTCACTGCAACCTCTGCCTCCCAAGTTCAAGCGATTCTCCTGCCTCAGCCTCCCAAGTAGCTCGGATTACAGGCATCTGCCACCATGCCCAGCTAATTTTTGTATTTTTAGTAGAGATGGGGTTTCACTATGATGGCCAGGCTGGTCTTGAACTCCTGACCTCAGGTGATCCACCTGCCTCAGCCTCCCAAAGTGCTGGGATTACAGGCGCGAGCCACTGCATCCGGCCTTAGAACTTTTCAAAAACATACTCTTCTCCTGTATGGAGGCCAGGGTGATCAAGATCTCTACACTCCACATCCCCAGCTGTATGAAACAACACAAATCAAAATGGTAACAGCTAAGACTGATGTAAGACGTGGCCCTGAAAATAAGTCACTTTCTTATTAGATAATAACGAAAATGGAGACAATCTGAATTTTGGGGGATGGGGCTGCCTCATAATAGAGATTTTACCAGTGGGAAAATATTGGAACCCTCAGGAGTTGGGAACCAGGGACCTAATCTAGTGACCCACCTCAGATAGTAGGTGAAAATGCATGCCACAATTAAGTTGTAGGAAAGGAGTACTTTAAAAAAATTAAAAATTTAAAAGCAACATGGAGCCAGGCATGGGCATTTTGGGAGGCCAAGGCAGGTGGATAACTTGAGGTCAGGAGTTCAAGACCAGCCCAGGCAATATGGTGAAACCCTGTCTCTACTAAAAGTTAAAAAAAATTAGCTTGGCTGGGCATGGTGGCTCACACCTGTAATTCCAGCACTCTGGGAGGCTGAGGTGGCTGGATCACTTAAGGCTAGAAGTTCAAGACCAGCCTGGCCAACATGGTGAAATGCCATCTCTACTAAAAATAAAAAAGTAGCTGGATGTCGTAGCAGGCACCTGTGTAATCCCAGCTACTTGGGAGGGTGAGGCAGGAGAATCACTTGAGCCTGGAAGGCGGAGGCTGCAGTGAGCTGAGATCGCACCACTGTACTCCAGACTGGGCAACAGAATAAGACTCCGTCTCCAAACTAAATAAATAAATTTTAAAACACGACGTGGCGCTTAATCTGCTAAATCCTGGGAACCACTTCATTATGCAACATTAGCGTGTTTTGTTTTGCAGTGCAACATATGTACCGTTGCCTAGAGGATTTCTTCCATCCAGAACATGTAGAAAGTCCCATACTTTGTATTCAATACACCTAATCAAAGCGTTTCATTAAAATCACCCAAAGAGAGGTACTTTTGAATATAGAAAATGTTAAGTAAATACTAAGAAGGGTACAATGTTTTTAGCATTAATAAAAATCTCAATCAGTAATTTCAAAGAAATACATATATTTCTTCATTTGCTGTCAAGGACAGGGAGTAAACAGTAGACTAGCGCCAAGTAGAAAACTGCCCTATCTCTGTAATTGGGAATAACAGTGGAAAAAAAATAGCAAAATAATAAAGATTGTACTGACTTACCATTCTGAAGCAAACACCTGTATAAAAGAAAGATAAAAAGAATTGTCAGCTTGTCCTCCTTTAAAAGGTTATATGTTTCCTGACTTAACTTTTATCTAGGTGGTCCCCATTTATCCTTGGTTTCACCTTCTGCAGTTTCACTTAATCCTCCATCAACTGTGGTCCTACAATATTAAATTTAAAATTCCAGAAATAAACAATTCATAAGTTTTAAATTGAATGCCTTTCTGAGTAGCATAGTGAAATCTCATGCTGTCCCACCCATGAATTATCCCTTTGTCCAGCAGATCCACACTGTAGACACTCTCTTGGTTATCAGATCGACTGACTTGGTGGTACTGCAGTGCTTGTGTTCGAGTAACCCTTATTTTACTTAATGATGAACCCCGAAGCACGAGAGTAGTGATGCTGGCAAATGCGCCAAAGAGAAACCATAAAGTGCTTCCTCTAAGTGAAAAGGTGAAAGTTCTCGACTTGATAAGGAAAGAAAAACATTGTATGCTGACGCTGCTAAGATCTAAAGTAAAAACAATCTTCTGTCCATGAAACTGTGAAGAAGGAAGAAGAAATTTGTGTTAGTTTTGCTGTTATACCTCAAATTGTAAAAGTTATGGCCACAGTGTATGATAAATGCTTAGCATATCGAGGGTTCTACACTATCCACAGTTTCAGGCATACACTGGGGTTCCTGGACTGCATCCCGACCCAAGAACAAGGGGGAACCCCTGTATTTATTAAGTGGTAAGTAAATGAAATAAATAAAATGTTTACTCTGAATATATTTAGAAAGTGTTTTTGAAAATTAGTTTCTTTTAAAATGAAAAGAGAAAAGGAAGACTTTTTGGAGAAAAATAGTAATATTCTGCTGAATCCAAATAAATAAAATGCTGAAGCACATATTTATTCTATTTTTAAATGCTAAATAAAACAAAATAGTTATTACAGGTACAGTTGAGTATACTTGGCATAAAATTTAGCTGTCCTCAACTTTTAAGATATCTTCTTAAAATGTAAGGACTAAATACAAATTTAAATGTAATAAAACATTTGTGTATTTTATTTCTAGTTATAGAACCAATGAAACTTATGAAATGATATGCTTGACCATAACTTGGCTTCTGAAGCCTCAGTTCTTTATTTATTTATTTATTTATTTACTTACTTATTTATTTATTTTAGAGACAGGGTCTTGCTCTGCACCCAGGCTGGAATACAGTGATGCAATCGTAGCTCACTGCCCCCTCAAACTCCTGGGCTCAAGGGATCTTCCTGCCTCGCCTCCTGAGTAGCTAGGACTCCAGGCATGAGCCACTGTCCCTAGCTCTGAAGCCTAAGTACTAATGGAAACTAACTGAAATGGAAATGATTCTTAGAATCTCTATAGTGTAGATTACATTATGTTAATACTTTGAACCATGTAGGCTGGGAAGTATCATTGGTCTTGGTTATGTTTTCCCTATCTAGACCATGATAAGCTGTTCTATATTGGCCAACTATGATGGTATCCTATACTTTGCTTACCCAGCCTGCAAAACTATAGGAGTCTCATCTCAGACAGAGGTCAAGAATACTATGGGACTTCATACCTTGGGTGGTCTAGAACCAAATATTGATACATAGAGAACTGGGCCCTAGAGTGGGGGTGACACAAGAGACAGGCTGGTTCCAAATTATCAGGGATATGTATTTATGGTATGGGACCCCTTTAGTGAAAGGGAAGGCCTTCTTACATCTCTCCTGGGAATTGCAGCAATGACCCTAAATAACAGATCTCAAGTCAGTCCTTCAAATTGCAACTTGGAAAACTCTTGATCCAAAAGGATGAATTAGAACAGGCTTCTTTGGTATAGATATGCCCCACATCTGGGCTCCTACTTGAGAGTTGGTTAAAATAGGCCTAAGTAAAGAAACATCAGGAATGTATCAGGTGCAGAAATTCAGAGCTTATTAGTACCTATTGCAACTTAGTTTTTATTTCTACCTAGAACACATGGTAAATTTGGAAATTTACTTTTTCGTACTCAAAAGCCAAATGACAGAAAAAAAAAGTGCTTAAATTTAGAGGAGAGGATATAGCAATTAAAAAACATTGGGAATAGATAAACAACTGTGGTAGATCCACACAACGGAATAGCATGCAGCTGCAGCAATAAAAAGGAATGAACCAGGGATACAAGCAACAACACGTATGAATCACAAATGCATTATGCTAAGTAAGAGAGGCCAGACTCACACATACTGTGTAACTCCACTTTCTGGAAAAGGCAAACTATAAGGACAGAAAACTGATTGTCAGTTGCCAAGGGCCAGGAGTAGAGGGGAGAGTGCTACAATGGGGGGTGAAGAACTTCGGGGTGATGGGACTGTTCTATATCTCAGTTGTGGTGAGGATTACATGACTGTATGCATTTGTTAAAAATTCATTGGGCCGGGTGTGGTGGCTCACACCTGTAATCCCAGCACTTTGGGAGGCCAAGGCGGGTGGATCACCTGAGGTCAGGAGTTCAAGACCAGCCTGACCAATATGGTGAAATCCCATCTCAAGAAAAATACAAAAATTAGCTGGGCATAATGGTGGGTGCCTGTAATCCTAGCTACTTGGGAGGCTGAGGCAGGAGAATCACTTGAGCCTGGGAGGCGGAGGTTTCGGTGAGCCAAGATCATGCCATTGCACTCCAGCCTGGGCAACAGAGCGAGACTCAGTCTCAAAAAAAAAAAAAAAAAATCATTCAATTGTACACTATAAAAGGTGAATGTTGCTGAATTTATATTCTATCTCAATTGAAAAATAATACATTGGGAAAAAATACACTGGGAAGTCACAGCGGATGGATCAATCTCCAAAGAGTCCAAAAGGTATTGATTCTACATACAGCAGTTAAGCCTGGTTAAGAGGATACAGAAGAAAGCATCAGTAGCTTAGATATTTTATGCAGTTTTGTAAGCAGATTTATAGTTTCCTGATGGTAGTATACTGTGGTACCCAACAAGTATGAAGGAAAAAAAAGCAGCAAAGCAATGAAGACAGGATAGTATCACAAATGGAGTTTTTATAGGGCTATAAAAATATTTCAAGAGATAGATGTTCAATGTGGAGGAATGATGAGTGGGACATATTGATCTGAAAGAGAATCAGAAAGGCAATCTGTTATATAGATGGAGGGGAAGACATTAGCTGGTAGATATAAAAGGAATTAGCAGAAAATTCCAGAAACTTCAGGTCAACCAGACCAGGTAGGAGAGAGATAAAACAGGAGAGAAGACAAGCTGCACTGTGCAGGCAAAAGTGTGCGTCTTTTTATCATAAGGGTAAGGGGATCCCAGAACACAGTAAGACACTGACCAAGTAAGTAGACTGAAAGTTTTGGTCTAGGTTGTATTGTGTATATTCCCCTCTGAGTTCCTCAACCGCTAACAGGCCAGAATATTAGCGTTATGAAAAGAGAAAGCACTTGCAATGGCAGTAAACAGAAATTAGAAACACGTAGTCCATCTCTTTCCTATTTAAAGAGTAGTCCATGAAACAGCAGCACCTGAGAGTTTTTTTCAGAAAATAAAATTCTTGGGCCCCTCCTCCAAGGAACAGAAATGCTACAGGTGGAGCCCAGTAATCTGTTTTCACATGCTTTCCAGGCAATTCTTATGCCCACTAAAGTTTAGAAGCAATGGCTGACTCCCCCTTAAAGAAAGGTCTGGGAGAGATTTGAAAAGAGTTTATATTTCAGGTAAGAATTGCATCAAAAGGAGAAAATTAAAATCTCGTAGGGTACCACAGATCTGATGCACGCTCCATCACACTGTTCAAGTTGGTGTTGGTAATAACTCATGTATTTGCATGTCATTGTTGCCTCACCTTTTTTTCACAAGTCAGACGAATTACATGGAAAAAACCATGCATGATAAAAAGGCAACTCTCCCCTCCTGCACCCTAAAGGGACCTGACATTGGCACAGCCTAGGCAGCCTGTCACGTAGATTTCTCCCTCCATCTGTACCACTTACTAGTAGAAATACTGGAGCTGCCCAAAGAGGGAAACTGACAACATGCCCCTCAGTGAAGAGCAACGTCCTTTCAACATTTACGAATCTCGAGCAGCCCTTCCACCATCTATTCATTGATGATGACAAAGACCATTAGCCTATGGTGATGGGGTTTGAGAAAATTTTTAAAGTGGAATCAAACACAGATATTCCACTATGTGTTGCAGTGTTAAGGAAATTACCTGCTCCAATCTATTGATGTAATATTTTATTCACACTAACATAATCTAAGAATGAGGTAACTCAGGTAAATCTAATAGGCACACAGTTAAACATTGATTATTGACTTAACAAACATTTTTCAATTGTCTAATTTTAAGTGCAAAGAATGAGATGAGTAAGACACAGTCCCTGCATCTAAGAGTTTACAATCTAGTGGGAAAGATGGACAAGTAAACTGGCAATTAAATATGGCAATTAAAATAATGGACAATTTGGAGCTGTAAAATCCATAAGCCTAGATATAAATTAGAGTTCATAAGACAGCTACATGACAGACAATCACTCTTGGGTGATTTTAGGGCTGGCTTGTTGAAAAACAGGTCTTAGAGCTGAGACTTCAATGATGAGCAAAAATTAGTATGATGAGAGTAGAACATTACAGATAGGAGAGCATGCTCAAAGGCCCGAGGTTTGAGATCAGGGCATATCTGGATACCACGCATAGTTAAATATTCAAACCCATGCATTGTACTCATTTTCTAAATTATTTCTAGGCCCCAGTCGTTACTGAAGATTTACTGAAAAATAGTTTAATTCTGTTCCAACTGTGTCTAGAAGAATGGGTGATAATGTTTATATACTTAAAGTTACCATAATCTTTCAACTCATCTACTACAAGAACCTCCTTAACTAGCCTCCCTGCTTCCAATTCTGCCCCCCTTACAGTGTATTCTCCATAAAGCACCCAACATGGTTTCCTTTTCTTAACTAAAAATCAAAGCATTTCCTTCCCCAGCTTAAAAGCCCACAGGGGCTCCCACTACACTGGAAATGAAATGTATTCTGGTTGCCACAGCCCCCTAATTCCTCTACCTCATATCCTACTTCTCTCCTCTTTACTCACCCCATTCCAGCCAGATATGCCTCCTTTGGCCCCTTAAAGATGCCAAGCCCCCTAGCCTTTGTACTGACTATTCCTTCTGCCTGAATCCTCTTCCCCCTGATATTCTCATTACTGGCTCCTTCCCATTATTTATCCCTCCATACAAATGTCACCTCCTTAAAGAAATATTCCCCAACAAATTTATCTAAAACAGCAATGCACCCCATGTTTCTTGCACATACATTGTTTACTTTTTGATTTCCTATCTTTATAGTAGATTGTCAGTTCCATAAGAACAGGAATTTTTCTGTCTTGTTTACTTACCACTGTGTCCCCAACACCTAGACCAGAGCTTGGCACATGGTTGTTGAATAAATGAATTTTTAAAAACCAGCTGATAAATATTTATGTGAAATATTTAACTATCCTATAATAATTTATCATATAAATTTTTATATATCTTTATTATATATGTATTATACATTTATAATATAATATCATTAATAATATTAACATATTGATTATATATTATATTTATTGTTAATGTATATTGTGAATATACATATAATCATATTTATTAGACTTTAAGTTTACTTTCAAAGTGATGATGCTCAATTTACTGCATTCAAAGTTCTGGA